>NW_025791788.1:300000-482250 GCF_000001405.40 Homo sapiens | reverse complement strand
GAATTCAGTTTGCTAGTTTTTTGTTGAGGGTTTTTGAATCATAAGGGATGTTGGTGTGTAGTTTTCTAGTGGTGTCTGGCTTTGGTACTAGTGTAATAACTGGCTTCATGGAATGAGTTAGGAATTATTTTCTTTTCACTCTCCAGTTTTTTGAAGGAGTTTCAGTATTGGTATTGATTCTTCTTGAAATGTTTGGTAGAATTCACTAGTGAAGGCATTTGGTCCTGGGATTTTCTTTGTTAGAAGATTTTTGATTACTGATTCAGTCTCTTGTTACCAATCTGTTGAGATTCTCTTATTTCCTGAGTGGGTTTTTTTGGTAGTTGTGTGTTACTAGGAATTTGTCCATTTTCATCTAATGTGATGGCATACAGGTCAGTAGTAGTGTCCCCTTCTTTCATATCTGACTTTAGTAATTTGGTTTCTGTCTCTTTTTCCTTGGTCTAGCCACAGGATTGTGTCATATTTGTTGATCTTTCAAAGAAACAACTTTTGGTTTTATTCAGTTTTCTGCTCCCCTCTCCCCCATTTTCTATTTCATTTGTCTTCACTTTAATCTTTACTGTTTCCTTCCCTGTGCTTGGATTGGGCTTAGTGTGTTATTCTTTTTCTAATTTTATTTTTTTATTTTTTTTGAGACGGAGTCTCGTTCTGCACCCAGGCTGGAGTGCAGTGAGTAGCTGGGACTATAGGCGCCCGCCATCATGCCTGGCTAATTTTTTGTATTTTTAGTAGAGACGGGGTTTCACCATGTTAGTCAGGATGGTTTCAATCTCCTGACCTCGTGATCCACCTGCCTCGGCCTCCCAAAGTGCTGGGATTACAGGTGTGAGCCACCGTGCCCGGCCTCTAGCTTTTTATTGTAGAAAGTTAGGTTATTCATTTAAGATCATTCTTCTAATAAATCTTTAAGTAACTGCTTTCTCTTCATCCCATACATTTTGGTATGTTGTGTTTTCATTTTATCTTAATTCATTCTCTGATTTCTCTTTTGCTTTCTTCTTTGACGAACTGATAATTAGGAGTGTTTACTTTTTACACATTTGTGAGTCAAATTTTCTTTTGTTACTGATTTCTAGTTTCATTCCACTGTATTTGGAGAACATTGTTTGCATGATTTCACTCTTAAAATGTATTGAGACTTGTTTTGTGGTTTAACATAAGGTTCTTCCTCAAGACTGTTCCATGTTTGCTTGGGCAGAATGTGTAACCTGCTGTTGCTGGGTGGATTTTCTATAGATGTGTTCGGTCTAGTTGGTTCATAGTGTTGTTCAAGCCTTCATTCTTGTTGACTTTCTGCCTCGTTGCTCTGAGTGTTAATTTAAGATAATAACCTGAACAGTCTAGTTCAGGTTAATACCAACTCCATTTCAATCATAGACAAAGTTTTGCTCCTCTAAAGCTTTGCTCCCTCCCCCAACCTTTGTGCTGTTATTGGGATACAAATTAGATGTTTCTACATGATGTTCTGGGTGATACAGATTTGTAATTATTACCTTATGCAGTTGTCTCTTAAATTATATAGAGGAACAAGAATTACAAAATGTGTTTATACCTTCTTTTATATTTGCCTATGTAGTTACCTTTACTGATACTCTTTATTTCTTCCTGTGGATTTGAGTTACTATCTAGTATCCTTTATTTCAGCCAAAAGGACTCCCTTTAGTAATTCTTGTAGGGTAGGTTTTCTAGCAATGAATTCTTTTAGTTATGGTTTATTTGGCAATGTCTTAATTTCTCCTTCATTTTCAAAGGATAGTCTTGGTAGATATAGAATTCTTGGATGGCAATCTTTCTTTTAGCACTGAGGATATGTCATGATCCTGCCTCCTCCTGGCCTCCATGGTTTCTAATGAAACCATGGAGGAATCAGCTGTTAATCTTAGGGAAGGTGCTTTGTATGGGATGAGCCACTTCTCTCTTTTTGCTTTTTAAGATTCTCTCTTGGGCTTTGTCCTGTGACAGTTTGATTATGGTGTGTCTAGGTGTAGATCTCTTGGTCTTTATCCTAAAATTCAATCATTTTCTCTTCTGCCTACTCAAGCCTGTTCTTGAGCCCCTCTAGTTACTTTTTCATTTTAGTTACTGTACTTTTCAACTAAAGAATTTCTTTCTTTCTTTTTTTTTCTTTTTAGACAGGGTCTTGCTCTGTCACCCAGAGTGGACTGCAGTGGCGTGAACATGACTCACTGCAGCCTTGACTCCCTGAACTCAAGCCATCTTCCTGCTTCAGCCCCCACCAAGTAGCTGGGACTACAGGCGCACCCCACCATGCCCAGCTAGTTTTTGAATTTTTTGTAGGACAGGGTTTTACCATGTTGCCCAGGCTGGTCTCGAACGCCTCAGCTCAGGCACTCTGCCTACCTCAGCCTCCCAAAATGCTGGGATTATAGGTGTGAGCCACCATGCCCAGCCAGAATTTCTTTTTGGTTCCTTTTTATAATTTCTACCTCTCTATTGATATTCTCTATTTGTTGAGACATTATTCTCCTTGTTCTTTTTAGTTCTTTGTCCCTAGTTTCCTTTAGCTCTAAGCATATTTAAAATAGTTGATTGAAGTCTTTGTCTGGTAAGTCCAGTGTCTGGGCTTCCTCAGGGCAGTCTAGTGATTGCTTTTTTTGTTGTATATGGGCAATACTTTCTTGTTTCTTTGCGTGTTTTGTGATGATAGGTTGAAAGTGGGCATTTGAAATAATATAATGTGGCCCCTCTGGAATTAGATTCTACTCCCTCTCCAGGATTTTTTATTGCTGCTTCTTGTAGTTGTTACTGTTTGTTTAGGGACTTTTCTGCGCTAATTTTGTGAAGTCTGTATTCTTTGTCATATGTGGCCAATAAAGTCTGCTCAGTTAGCTTAGTGGGCAGCTAGTGGGTTTCCTTCCAAGGAAACCATGAAGTTAAACAATTGCCTCTAAATGTTTTTGACAAATGCCCATGGGGAAAAGGCCTCCTGCACGGGTGAGTTCTGAGCCAGGTCAGTGAAGACAGCCTTGCAAGTGTGATCTTTCCGGGAACGCTTGCAAGTGTGATCTTTCCGGGAACCCAGAGACAGGTCAAATAAGTGATTGTCTGAGAACGAGGCTTTGGAGATGTCCTGCCCTCATCTGCGTCCTCTGTGGCTGCTGGGCAGCTGGTTTTCACTGTGATTGCGGCTGTTCATTTTCAAGGTTCTGAACCTTGGAGCTAGAGATACAGGGATGGGAATAGGGCATTTAAAGTGCCAACAAGCTCACTGATCTTGCTTAGATTTAGCTGTTTTTCTTGAATAAATGCTTCCTGGATTGTTGCAAGTCTATGGTCAATTTCCAGAGTTCAAAACTTTTTGATTCTGACATTTTTTTTTAACCAGTTTTCTGATTGCCTTTACAGAGGAGAGAATTTCTGGAGGTCATTGCTCCACTATTTCACCAACATCACCCCTTCTTTTCTTTGTGGTGTGATTACTATCTAAGCTCTTAGGGGAAAGACGGTTATGTGAGCCATGCCCCTTGGGATGCAATTTTCATGGTCACCATTCACTTTCAACATATGTGACAGATGTTTAAGAAATACATTTTACTATAAAGCACTACCTGCTCATATAACTGGTAACATATGACATGGCATGAATTGGATTACCTGCCTTCCCAGGTAACTCATATTGTCAGATATATTTGCATATCTTTCCAGACTTCTTCCTGTGCCCACAAAAATATGCATGTAATTCAGGTGGAAATGAAGTGATCTCTGTCCACATGTTCTAATGTTTACATGCCTGTACGTGCATACACACACCCTTGCAAAGCAAAAATGGGATCATGCCATATGTACTTTGTCTAATTGCTTTTTTCACTTAATCCTTGAGGATTGTTTGTGATATATTCTTTAGGGCTTTTTCAGTGCATATTTGGATATATGCATGGATATTTGCACATAAGCTTTTTTTTTTTTTTAAGCAAAATTGACATTACACTGTATCCATTGTTCTGCCAGTTGCTTTTTTCCTTGAATAAATTTTGGTGACTTTTAACTCTACCTCTTTCTGGTAGTGGCTGCATATCATTTATGCATTTCTTCATTCAATAAATTGTTTGCTATGTGCTGGTCCCACTAGTGGATGGGCTGTGATTTATTTAGTCATTTCCCTACTGATGAGTGTCTCTCTTGGTTTCAGGGTTTGCTATTAGCAGTAAGGCCGCAGTGGACATTCTTGTGTCTGTACCTTTTTGCCCTGTGCTACTTCTTCTAGGTTCCTTGTAGATTTGCTGAGCCAGGGGACATAAGCATTTTAAAGTTTGGTGGATACCAGCAAGTTGCCTTTCAAAATGTTATGCCAACTTATCTTCCCACTGGCAATATGAAATTTCTTGTTAAGGACACCTTCCCTGTTACTGGATATTATAACTTCTGAAGGTTTGTTACTCTCATTACCAAAATTTAGCCATGTAATTTGAAGGTGTTTGCCACTTTCTTCCCTGCTCCTGTGAAGGGCTGGCCTGGGGGCCACGCCACATCATGTCTCACAGATGGGGCCAAGGTTTCCTTGAATGGAAGTCAAGTGGCTCCCTCCGCCACTTAGTGATGTGCACCTGCAAAGGTGGTGGCACCTTTTCCGGGGCAAGGCTGCAGCTCGTCTTCATTGTCTTCATCACTGATGCTGTTCTGTGTGTTCAGTTGGCACAGTGCAGTCACCAGCGCCAGTCACCTCATGCCCTCCTGTTGGTGTTTTCACAGGTAGCAACTGGGAAGTGGAAGCAGATCAGCAAATACTGTCCCCTTGATCTCTACTCAGGGTAAGAGAACACTTCTCCTTTGCCCCCTTGTGTCAGGTTCCCTGGAGATGGGTAGGGCGGGGGCCAGTGCCTGGTGGGGGGTATTTCGTGAGGTAGGAAGGCAGGGAAGGCCCTGTTCTGTCTTCAGGGCTCTCTTTTGCCATCAGCGCTGTAGACACCTGGGGCTTTGTGCTCCGTGCCTTGTCTCTGTGCTCACAGTTTGACGTGCTTGCTCACTTTTGGTTGTTTCCTCATCTGAATTGTGACTAGATTTGTCTTCTACTTATGTCAGAAATCAACTGGTGCTCAGCCTTGACCTCCATCCGTCTGGGCCCTCATAGTTTGGTTGTTTGTGCCTTTGATCTCTCCCTCCTCTGTGGATATTAAAAAGTCTGCTGCTGCAGTGGCTATTTCTGCCCCGGCAAGGTCTGCTTGCAGCCTCTGATCAGGTGCCTGGGCTCTGCTCCCCACCTTGGCCTGCCTCCACGCTCCCCGGCCTTCAGAGCTTTGCTGTGCATCCTGCACATTACTCTCCTGGGGCAGCCCAGAGTCCGGTCCTGGCCAGAGCCTTTGTGGTCAGGAAGGCGGTAGTGGCTGGGAGCTGGGGAGGGTCAGTCCGCAGTGGGGCCTGGGGGCCCAGCGAGCAGGCCCTGGGGCTGAAGGGGCAGCAGAGGATGCTGGCAGGGCTGAGGGTGGGAGCAGGTGGAGAGAGGCAGGACCTGGGACTCATGGCAGTGCCCTGCCCCAACTCAGGCACCCCCACCTCACACCCCCAGGAGAGAGTCCTTGGCCACAGAGCGATGTAGATTTGTGTGCCTTTGTTGTCCTTTTTGATCAGCACAGCTCCTCTTTCCAATCTCCTTTCCCTCCCTGGGACCCCTGTTACTGCAGAGCTGTTCTGGTGAGTCCGGTTTTTCTCGCTCCACTGTGTGAGTTTCTTTCCTCTTTCTTCCCCTGCTGTCCTCCAGCCATTCATTTCGTGCCCCTGCCTTTGTCAGTGCTCAGCACTGCCTCTGAGTGCGTGCCTGGTCATCATGTCAGTGCTTTTGGTTAGATGCTCTTTTAAACTTCCGGGAACAAAGATCGAACGCGGAGTTGTCTTTGGAAGTTAAAAAGTTCACAAACATTGGGAATGCTCATTCAGAAGGTGGCACCAACACCGCTCACTCCATGGCTTCAGCGAGTCTGGCGGTGCCCTCACCTGTGGGTCCCATGTGGATTTCCCTGTGCACCTAAAGGCTGTGAATTGTGAAGCATTCAGTAATAAAGATTCATTGTTGAGAATTTATTAACGTGTCAGAACATAAGTAGGGAAACCTCCCTGGAATGTTGTAGAATGCAGGCTTTTGGGAGTCAGCTAGAGTGCGTGGATACTGGATGCCTTTCTGAATGTGTGCTTGTGGGCTGTCCCTACTGGCAGGGTCAGGCTCGTGTGCTTGCATGGGCAGCTTGGCCTCCAGAGGTTCCTCCGTTGGGGGTAGGGGAGGAGGCCATCCTTGCAGCTCGTCGCTTGGAGGACGAGGGCTCCCTGGGGCTCTAGCCTCTCCTTGGCTCCCAGCACTCCCTTCGTGGCCCATCAGAGGTCTCCTGCTGCCCCTGAGCCTTTGGAAGTTGCGGCAGGAGGAACAAGGGAGGCATAGCAGCCCTTAACCCGTCTCGGGTTGGGCTGTGATGCAGCTGGTGGGGTTCCCACTCCTGTGCCTCAGTTGGGTCCCTCACATCTCCCGAAAGTCTGGGGTCAGGGCCAACCCCCACATCTCTGGTGAGTGCGTGTCAGGCTGTGGAGCTGCATCTGTGACCCTCCGGGGAGGGAGCCCATGGTGGGGCTGTAGTGAGGGGAGAATGTCACTGTTTGGACCTAGTTGGACTCTGGGTTTCCCAGCGGCCCCTGGGAGTACCCAGCATGTCCTCTGAGCCACGAGCAGGTGTGTGTGCAGGGACAGGTCAGTTCCAGCTGCATTTAAAGCATGTTAATGCTTTTCCCTTTTAGAAACAAACAGAGAATGCACTTTGCCTTGAAGAGTTTGCTGCAGGAGGCACAGAACAACTTGAAGATATTTAAGGTAAGAGCTGCTTTGATTCTATGGTGGTTTCAGGGTGGGGCTGGCAAAGGTTCAAGTGACCTCACAGATGAGGGTGTTGGGCTGGGCTGCACGTCATGTGTGTCTGACATCCCCTTTGGGGTCCTCATGCCCTGACTGGTTCAGTCATCACCTTGGACCTTCCAGTTCCAGACCTGTCTTTCCCTGACCTTTTTCTGAGCACGATTCCACAAGCATAGCATCTGAGTGACCCTGGGTTGCTCATGACCCTGGGGTGCTCGACCAAAGCCCCACCAGTTGCTGGGTGGGCCTTGGTCTCCCCTTATAAGCAGATGGGTGAACTGTGGGTGAGGATGGCTCTGGCACTATCTGGGCTGGTGTGACCTGGCCTGCTGCTGGCAGTGGTGTCCAAGGGAGAGGAGGTGGGGGTGGGGCTGGGCAGGGTTGGGGCATCTGCGGAGGAGAGGCTGCTGGGGAGAGAGGGGATGAGATGTAGGGCAGGGCAGGCCTGGGTGGCAGTCAGGGTGCCGGGTCCCTGTTAGACATGTATCCTCTGGGGTCCCCCTTGTCATCACCTCAGTCCCAGTTGTAGCCTCATGATCACACATAAGTGACACCTGGGGACAGAGTCCTGGGCTCCCTGCAGGAGCTGACAGCCATCGCAGGTGGATACTTCAGAGGAGGCAGGGCTGTTGAGTATGGGCCTCTCAGCTTCCTATGTGCCGTGGTCTGGACGAGGTGACTGGTGAACTGGAAGCCCTGGCCCCTCTCCTCGCTGCTGCACATGGCTGGCGTCCTGCTGCCCGGCTGGCTGCCTCTCAGCAGTGGGCAGATGGCGCCTGCTCTTGACCTGCCTCCCCAGGTCTTGGTTAGAAACCCATGGCGCTGGCTGCTGGGCAGTGAATTGGCTTCATTCCCTGTCTGCCTCTACCTTCCCAAATCCAGGAAAGGAAGACATATTTCACAGGCAGTTTTTATTTCATATTTATATAATTTATTTTTATAAACTCGATATTTAAGCCCTGAAGATACATTCTGTTTCATCAGGGATTTGTTTGAAGCCTGTCATAAGGCTGGCATGTTATCCCAGGTGGATCCTTTTCTGACCCCATCTGGCCTGCACCTAATGTCTCTGGAACTCTGGCTGTCTGCTACTTTTGTCAAAATCAGCTTGGAAAAGTCCTGAGGATTAGGATTGTTTCGAAAGAGTTGAAAAGGGAATGGATTAAGAGAAGGGATGCAGAATGATTTTAAGATAACAGGGCACCGCCAAGGCATGTTACCTACTGTGCGTTCCATCAGCTCTCCCGCCGATCTGGTCCGGTTCAGTATTGAAAGCCAGCAAGACAGAAAACCCTGAAAGCTCTGAAGTTCCAGGTGTGGGCCAGGTGCAGTGGCTCACACCTGTAACCCCAGCACTTTGGGAGGCTGAGGTAGATGGATTGCTTGAGGCCAGAAGTTCAAGACCAGCCTGGGCAACGTAGCAAAACCCTGTCTCTACAAAAAATCAAAAAAATTGCTGGGTGTGGTGGTGTGCGCCTGTGTTCTCAGCTACTTGGGAGCCTGAGGTGGAAGGATTGCTTGAGCCTGGGAGTTGAAGGCTGTAGTGAGCTTTGATTGCTCCACTGCACTCTAGCCTGGGCAACAGGGTGAGACCTTGTCTCAAAAACATTAAAATTTTTTTTTAAAAAGAAATAAATAAGGTTTAAAGAGTTGCTACTCTCCTGGGGTTGGCCGCTGTCAGGGGCCTTTCCCCTGGGCAGCATCCAGACCCCCATGAGTCATGGTGTTGACTCCCCCTGGGCATGGCAGCAGATGTCCCTGCCTGTGCCCTGGGAATGTGTGAATCTAAGTGTTGATGTTGTAAGGAGTTTCTTTGCTGGGCTTGATTTAAGAAGGCAGAACCGTCTTGAGCATGGACCATACTGGTGATGCCAGCAGCTTCTCCCACCATCTGGCTCAGCTGTACCACCCAGCACTGGGGTCACCCTGGGCGTGGCCTGAACCCCAGGACACACTCGTTTGTGGTGCTGGTGCTGACTGCCATCCTCACGTTTGTCTGCTCAGGGCCAGAGCCAAGGCCCTCAGGTTCTTGAGTAACTGGGCTGGTGGCTTTGGGAGTTTGTCACTTGTGGTGAGCATTTGCTCTTGGCTTCTGAATATACTGTGGATCATTGTCTGGGGGCGTTGGTCAGGCCAGGGCACTGCTCTTTAGTTTTTGAAACTTTCCTTCCTTTTCATGTCTTGAGGTTTGGTGCTTGGTTGATAGCACAGCTCGTGAGGGTGGATTTCCCCGGAGGAGCCGGAGTATGCAGCGGCCCCAGATTGGGTGGACAGCATCAGGGCCCTTGGCTTTCACCCGCTGCCTGGGATGCTGGTGGTGGGGACTGAGTTCTTTTCCTACAAGCTTGGTGGTTTGACGTTTCCCTCTTTCTTTTCCCTGTCTGAAGAATGGTGAGCTGATTTACGGCTGCAAAGATGCCCGGAGCCCCGTGGCTGACTGGAGCGAGCTTGCACACCACCTGAAGCCGTTCTTCTTCCCTTCCAACGGCCTGGCCAGTGGGCCCCACTGCACAAGGGCTGTGATCAGGGAGCTGGTGCACGTGATCACACGGGTGCTGCTGAGTGGCTCGGACAAGGGCCGGGCAGGCACCCTGAGTCCGGGGCTCGGGCCTCAGGGCCCGCGAGTCTGCGAAGCCAGCCCTTTCAGTAGGAGCCTTCGCTGCCAAGGTAGGGCCCAGCCTTCCCCAGGTAGGCGGTGGGGGCCGCAGGGGCCTTGGGACTCTGCAGTCCCCATGGGTGGCCAGGCGGTCAGCACAGCCTCCTGGGGGCTCTGGGGGATGCCACCTGGTTACGCCAGGGCTCCCAGCACGGGGCCTCGCTGCCTCTCACCCCCAGATGCAGACTCCCTTTCTTGCCTTTTATCTGCATCTGTAAATTGCAGGACACATTTGGGCTGTAGGATTTTCCCCCAGAATATCATCCATATGTTGTGGTCCTCTCTGGTTTGTTGAATGTTTTCAACCATGTTATATATCCTGTTGGATCCTCATTGCAACCCGGGGGACAGGTTTTCCTTGGCTTGTTCCTTAGACAGAGAGAATTGAGGCACAGAAATCCTGCAGGGCTGGGTCCTACCACAATGGGATGTCTTCACAAGTCTGGGGTGAAGACACAGACCCATGGGGCCTTTGGACTGCGGGACGCCTTCCTTGCAGACAGGAGCCGGGCCTGGCCGCTGCCACATGTCCTGACATCTCATGAGCTGACGCTGCCCGTGATTCTTGGCAGCCCATAGAGACCCCATGGTCTCTGGGAGCCTGAGATGGTTTGAAGACAGCAGTCCTGCTTGTGTGCAACCAGAAACCAACCCATACCCTAAGCCCTGCCTTATTATCTGTGCCAATTTTTTCTTTTGTTTTTTCAAGACAGGATCTTACTCTCTTACCCAGGCCAGAGTGCAGTTGTGTGATCTCGACTCACTGCAACCTCCACCTCCTAGGTTCAGGTGATTTTCCTGCCTCAGCCTCCTGAGTACAGGTGCGCACCGTTACACCTAATTTTTGTATTTTAGTAAAGACAGGGTTTCGCCATATTGGCCAGGCTGGTCTCAAACTCCTGACCTCAAGTGATCCGCCTGCCTTGGACTCTCAAAGTGCTAGGATTACAGGCATGAGCCACCATGTTTTCTCACTACAAATGAACTTTGTGGGGGTTTTTTTTTTCTTGTTATGAAAGTGATTCCTGATCATTTCAGAAAATTTTGTTAAAATTATGCCTATAATCTGGGCACATAATTGCTTTTAAGGAAGCCAACTGTGTCTGCAACGACAGATGGCACCAGTTGCTGAGGTGGTCTGGGGGCACCAACAGGAGGCGCCACAGCACCCCGGGGCTCCTGCAGACCTTTTTGGACATGGACACAGACAGGAGGGAGTGGAGCTGGGCCCTGGCTGCTGGGATGTGCAGTTTAAAACAATAAGATCATACTCTACATGTCATTTTGTAACTTGACTTTCTTTACTTAACTAGCATAAATCTGTATCTATATCATCACATATATGTTTTTTTTTTAAATTAATTATTTTTAAAGACAAGGTCTGTTTCTGTTGCCCAGGCTGGAGTGCAGTGGTGTGAACTTGGCTCACTGCAACCTCCACCTCCAGGGCTCAAGTGATCTTCCTGCCTCAGCCTCCTGAGTAGCTGGGACTACCGACACGCACTACCACGCCTAGTTAATTTTTGTATTTTTTTTTTGTAGAGATGGGGTTTCTCCATGTTGTCCGGGCTGGTCTTGAACTCCTGGGCTCAAGCAATCTGCCAGCATTGGCCTCCCAGAAAGTTAGGATTGCAGGCGTAAGCCACGGCGCCTGGAGATCACATGCATTTTGTTCTTTATTGACCATGCATGGATCTGCTGTAATTTTAACAAATCCCCTCTAGTTGGGCATGTGAACTTTTACTCCTGTTTCCCTGCATGTTGGCATTTTCGTGCCGGGTCCTAGTGAAATCTGCAGCTGACTACAGTTTTCCCCCTGCATGGACACCTTTCTTACTGTGTCTTTGCCTGTAGTTTGGTTCTTTGTGGGAGATGGTTGCTCCCTTCAGTGGCAGGAGATGATCTGGGACTTGGTACCTCCCAAGCTCACTTGGCACCCTGTACAGCACAGGTGCCAAACAACTGTGAGTGGCAAGTGGAGTTTTGTTTCTGCCTCTGTCCCTATGATATAACAGGTCCTTGTCAGTGGCTTTGACCCCTGTCTGTGGCTCTGTGTGGCTGGTTCTGAGCTCGTGCCTGTCGCCAGCCCAGGTCTTACCTGCCTCTCAGTGTGGGCTCATGGCTCTGGACTCTGCAGACAGTGTCCCAGGGTTTTCCTCCTTTAGTGGTCTTGCAGATTTAGGATGTCAGCAGGATCTTAGAAATTCCTTGCCTTGCAGTTGCAATGAGTCGAGATCACGCCACTGCACTCCAGGCTGGGCCACAGAGAGCAAGACTCTGTCTCAAAAAAAAAAAAGAAAAGAAAAAGAAGAAATTTTGTGACCTGACTTAAAATGAGGATTATGTCTAAACTTAGATCATAAAGTGACTTCCAGGGCTGTTGTGGTGGAATCTAAAGGACATTCTGAGAGTTGTGTTGGGAGAGGAGAGCCACGAGGCAGGACATGTGCATTTCTTGCTCCCTCCTTTGTGCTTGGCCTGGTGCATCCAGTGTGGTCCAGGCACGCTGCAGCTCCAGCAGCTCTGTGAGGCGGGAGCGTCATCTCGTCTGTCCTTAGTGCCAGTCCAGGGTGCAGTCCTTGCCTGTGGTGATGCCCGTATGGCGGAGCCCAGGATGAGCCCTGCGGTCTGCGCCGGCCTGTGTCTCCCTCCACGTTCTTTGATAATCAACATGCTCTCGTTTTCCCCTGATGTTCTCGGTAGGAAAAAACACCCCAGAGCGCTCGGGGTTACCGAAGGGCTGTCTTCTGTACAAAACCCTCCAGGTGCAGATGTTGGACCTGCTGGACATCGAAGGCCTCTACCCTCTGTACAACCGGGTTGAGCGATACCTGGAAGAGTTTCCCGAGGAGAGGTGAGGTCGGGCGGTCCCCCTGTTGGGCAGCCCTGAGAGGAGACTGTGGGAGTGGGCAGGGTAAGAATGCGCCTCCCAAGGCACAGCTTCCCAGGAGGATGAAGCATGCCGGCCACTTCCTACCCCAGTCCTCCGCTCCCAGGTGCCCAGGCCTGCTCTGGAATGTAGTGCCTTGTAAAGGAGGAACAGGGTCACTTGTTTCTAGAAAAGAAAGCACGTCTGTGACCTTGCTAATTCGAAACCCCAAGATGGGGCTGAGCCTGCAGAGGGCAGTGTTGCTCCACAGCTGAGCAGCGCTCCTGCAGGTCGTTCTGTGTCAGCCCAGCCTCTGTCCTGGGCTTTCACTGCGGGTCATTGGGGTCCACACCCGCGGTGTCCAGTCGGGGCCAGGATCCTCTTCCTTCCTCGCTGGTCTTCCTTGCATCTCTGACGCAGGATGCTACTTGTCATGAACAGGAGAAGGCTCAGCTTCAAGGCTCGCTGGTTCTGGTCTTGCTGAGTTCTGTTAAAAACCTTGATGTTTAACATGAGGGAGATAGATCTGTTATGTGTTTTTCAAAACAAAATGTGTGATGTTTAGTGGTGCTGGGCTTTGTAGACTGTTAGCAGTTTAAGAAACAACCTCCGTGCGGCTTTGTCATCCTGTTTTTATTGTGCTTTCTTCTTCAGAAAAACCTTACAAATAGATGGGCCTTATGATGAAGCATTTTACCAGAAGCTGCTTGACCTTTCCACTGAGGATGACGGGACAGTGGCCTTCGCGCTAACGAAGGTGGGCAGACCCATCCAAAAACTTGCTGTGTGATCCTTAGCTTCTTAGCACTAATCTGTTTTTTTGTTTTTTGTATTTTTTTTTCCATTACCTACCCCTGAGGTTTAAAGCAGAAAACTTGGGATCAAAAAGAAGTGGCTGAAGTTTCTCCCAGATGAACTGGGGCAGGTGGTGGTGCATTGAGGTTTTAAGGGGAATTTCCCTTGGTTGAGTTCTGCCCTGGCCCGTTCCTGGTGGGGTCAGGCCCCAGGGGCGGCCGATCTGCAACCCATCTGCATGCCTTCTCAGCAGCCCACAACAGGCTCTCTGCCAACTGTCCCTTGCTACAAGGCCCTTGCCAGGGTCCTGGGACCCCACCTGTGCCTCTGCCCTGCCCCTGGCTGTATGCGGGCGGCTTCCTTCCCTTAGAACCGAGGCCAAGGGACAGCCTGCAGGAGTCTCTTAGGGAAGAGGACTGGCCCTGTACTTCCTGGGTCTGTGAAATTCAGGGCTCCATGAGCTTGGATAGGAAAAAAATGGCATCTTCATTTTCACTAAGCTGTACCTGGAATTTAGCATTTCTTTCCATTACGAATGTGGCAATGAGCCTGTGGGTTCATCAGGACCCAGGAGTTTGCCACTAAGAGAATAAAAAAACAGACTTTCCGTCTCACACTGTAACTGCAGACACTTTGAGATGTGGTTTATTCATCACTGCATTAAATGTTACATATTACTACGGAATACATTTGTTTTTAAAAATATTTTGGCTCAGCACTTTGGGAGGCTGAGGTGGGAGAATTACTTAAAACCAAAAGTTGGAAGCCAACCTGGTCAACATAGTGAGACGCCCATCTCTACAAAAGAAAAATTAAAAAATTAGCTGGACGTAGTGGCGTGTGCCTAGAGTCCCAGCCACTTGGGAAGCTGAGGTAGGAGGATGCAGTCAAGGCTGCGGGGAACTGTGATCATACCGCTGTGCTCCAGCCTGGGTGACAGAGCAAGCCCCGTCTCAAAAAAACATTTTTTTTTTTTTTTGGTATTTTACATTTCTGCCACCTGTATTTTATATTACACATTTTAAAATGTTATCCTGGGCCGGGTGTGGTGGCTCACGCCTGTAAACCCAGCACTTTGGGAGGCTGAGGCGGGTGGATTATGAGGTCAGGAGATTGAGACCATCCTGGCTAACATGGTCAAACCCCACCTCTACTGAAAATACAAAAAAATTAAGCAGGCGTGGTGGCAGGCGTCTGTAGTCCCAACTACTTGGGAGGCTGAGGTAGGAGAATCACTTGAACCTGGGAGGCAGAGATTGCAGTGAGCCAAGATTGCACCACTGCATTCTAGCCTGGGCGACAGAGCGAGACTCCATCTCATAAAAAAAAAAAAAAAAGTTATTCTGAGAGAGGCCCATAGGCTTTACTAGGCTGCCAAAGCCTTTACAGGACAATAAGCAGTGAGGAAACCTGTTCTGGAGCGAGCTGGCGCTCCTCCCCACATGTGCATGCACCGCTGCCTGGAGCCCTGGGACCCACTTGCCCTGTCCCGTTGACATGTCTGTGGCTCACATTTGGGAGAGAGCCCTCAGTGCTTTCTTTAACTGGGGCTGCAGCTGTCTGTTTTGAGGAGAACTGAGGATGTCTGGTAAAGCCTCAGGTGAGGCTCTGACGCAAAGGGCCACAGGGATGTTAGCAGAGGCCCAGGGCAGAGTTGTCATCCTGGTGAGGAGAGTTCCAAGTGGAGCCCTGGGGTGAGAAGAAAGCAGTGGCACCTGCCTCGTGCTGTCTGCCAGTTGGGTACGTTGATTTAGGTATAAACAGCAGTGTGGCGGGTTTTTTCCTAAGAGAAGAAACAGGACTTTATTTCCTTTTTATGTATTTCTGTATTTTTCAGTTTTCCACAAAATAAGTATGGATTACTTTTTAATTTTACTTTAATCTTTTAACCTGATATGTAAATGTAGTGTTGTAAGCAGCTAAAGCAGACATTACTTAACTAGCAGAAGGGCTAAAATAAAGACACTGAAACAACACCAAATGGAGGTGCAGAGAAACTGGATCTCTCATCTGTTGCTGATGGGGATGGAAAATGACACAGTCACTCCGGAAAACAGTTTGGAAGGTTCCTACACACTAAACACGCAATTACCCTGTACTTGTGCTCCTGGGCATTTATCCCAGAGAAATGAAGACTGACACTCACCAAAAAACCTGTACAGAAATGTTCACAGCAGCCCTTTTTGTAACAGCTAAAAACTGGAAACCACCCACATGTCTTTCCACGGTGACCTCCAGCGGGTCAGACAGACTGTGCATTCATACCACAGAACTCTGCTCAGCACCAAAAAGGAACAGACTCTTGCTAAACAGCCCAGGTGGACCTCCAGGGGGCTTTGTTGGTGACGAAAACCAATCTCCAGAGGTCACACTGAATGATTCTGTGTGTATAACATCCTTGAATGGCAAAGATTTGTGGTTGCCAGGGGTTGGCAAGGAGGAACAAGGGAGGTAGATGTGGTTATAAAAGGTCAAACCAGGGGATCCCTGTGGTGATCAGACTGTTCTGTATCTTGACTGTGGTGGTGGATGCATGAACCTACGTGTGATCACACACACACTCTCATACACACTCGCATATATGTAAAACCCGAGATATCTGAATAAGATTGTGGATTGTGTCAGCATCACTCACCTTGCTGTGATATTGTAGCTTTGCAAGATGTTACTGGTGGGAGAAACGTGGCTTGAGGTCTTTCCGTGCTGTCATAGAAGGGCCTGCCCTTTTTCTCTTGTAGGAAGTTAGCTTCTGGTAATTGAACCTGAAGAGGGTAGTTGTGAAGCTGAAGCTGAGGAGTAGGCTGAGGACATTCCTTCCTACACAAAAGTTCTTGCACTCATATTGTTTATCTAATTGAACCCTGTGGGCCGGGTACGGCAGCTTACGCCTATAATCCCAACACTGTGGGAGGCTGAGGCAGGTGGATCAGTTGAGACCAGCCTGGCCAACATGGCAAAACTCTGTCTCTACTAAAAATACAAAAATTAGCCAGGCATGGTGGTGCATGCCTGTAGTTCCAGCTACTTGGGAGGCTGAGGCAGGAGAATCGCTTGAACCCGGGAGGTGGAGGCTGCAGTGAGCCAAGATTGCACCACTGCACTCCAGCCTGGGTGACAGAGCGAGAGTCCATCTCAAAAAAAAAAAAAAAAAAAATTGAACTGTGTACCGCTGAAGAAAAGAGGGAATATTGTCTTCATTTCAGTGCTCAGGAGACTGAAGCCCCCAATAACTCTTGCTTTTGTCTGTTGTGTAGTATCTGGTAGCAGGGGTCAGCAGACATTTGTAATGTCTGGTCCCTGTTGCAGGTACCCGGCCTGGCCACTGTAGCTCAAAAGGAGCCATGGAGAAAACATGAGTGGGGCTGAGTTCCAGGAAAACAAAAACAGGAGGTGGTGGGCTGCATTTGGCCCCCAGCCCATAGTTTTTTGACCTCTGTGTACTTTTACTTATTAGTTTTTTTTATGTCATTTTTTGCTCTATGTGTTTGGAAGTTACTCCTGTTTCTCTCCCTTTTGTGGTGTCTTGTCCAATTTGATCCTGCATATTTAAAGTCTAATCAGTTATTTCATACTCCCAGTCCACACACAATATAAGGACTTGGGACACTTAATTCCAGTTGTCTCTCCAAACTTATGTGCAGTATTGTTCTGTTTGTCTTGGTATTTTTTTTTTTAGTCATAATTTAGAGTATTATTTTACACAGATGTTTAGATTTATCCATGTGTTTTTCCATATCACTGCCTAACATTCTTGTAGCTTAGCTATTTCTCCATTTTCCTTCTTTTCTGTAACAACTTTATTGAGGTGTAATTTATATACCATACAGTTTACCCACTGAAAGTGTTCAGTGCAGCGGTTTTGACTGTATTGAAAGATACGTGCAATCATCAGCACAGTTGATTTTAGATTTTCATCACTTCAGTAAAAACCCTGTACCCTTTAGCTATCGTCCCATTGTCTCCCCATGACCCCCAGCCTTAGGCAACTACCTGTCTACTTTCTATCGCTGTAGACTTGTCTCTTCCAAATATTGCATATAAACAGAGTCATTGAATGTGTGGTCGTTTGTGGCTGGCTTCTTTCACTTAGCCTGATGTCTTCAAGGTTCATCCATGTTGTAGCATGCATCAGTACTTCATTCCTTTACATGGCTCAGTAATAGTCCATGGGGTGGACATATCCATTCATCCATTGATGGACATTTGGGTTGTTTCCTCTTTTTGGCTATTATGCTCAATGCTGTTATCAATATTTGGGTACAGGGTTTTTTTGCATGGATGTGCGTTTTCACTTTTCTGGGGTAATATGCCTAGGAGTGGAATTGCTAGGTCCAGTGGCACTTTTATGTTTAAATTTTTGAGGACCTGGGCAGACTTTTCCAAAATTGCTGTACGGTTCGATCTTCCCACCAGCAGTGTATGAAGTTGTCTTTATTTTTTTCCCATCTTCAGCAACACTTGTTATTACTTGTCCTTTTGATTTTAGCCGTCGTCGAGAGTGTGCAGTGGTATCTTGTAGTTTTGATTTGTATTTCCCTGAAGACTAAGAGCATCTTTTCATGTGCTTGTTGCCCACTTATATATCTTTTTCAGAGAAATGTCTATTCAGATCCTTTGCCTACTTTTTTTTTTTTTTTTTTGAGATAGAATCTCTCTCTGTCACCCAGGCTGAAGTGCAGTAGTGCAATCTCAGCCTCCTGAGTAGCTGGGACTAACTATAAGTGCACACCACCATCCCTGGCTAATTTTTTGTATTTTGTTAGCGACAAGGTTTCACCATGTTGCCCAGGCTGGTCTTGAACTCCTGAGCTCAAGTGATCCACCCACCTCGGCCTCCCAAAATGCTGGGATTACAGGTGTGAGCCACCGTGCCCAGCCCCCTTTGCCTACTTTTTAATAGTGTCATTTATCTTGAGAATTCTTTGTATATTCTGGCTACTAGACCCTTATCAGATACATGATTGGCAAATATTTTCTCCTATTCTGTTGGTTGCCTTTTTACTTTCTTGGTAATATCTTAGATGCACAAACATTTTTAATTTTGTTGAAGTACAGTTTAGTTTTTCTTAGGTTGTTCATACTTTTGGTGTCATATCTAAGAATTCATTGCTAAATAAATCTAAGGTCATGAAGATTTCCCATGTTCCCTTTTAATAGTTTTATAGTTTTAGCTCTTATAGTTAGGTGTTTGATCCATTCTGAGTTAATTTTGTATGTGATTTCAGGTAGAGGTCCGACATCATTCTTTTTTTTCAGAGACAGGGTCGGGTCTTGCTCTGTCACACAGGCTGAAGTGCAGTGGTGTGTTCGTAGCTCACTGCAGCTTCAAACTCCTGGGCTCGAGTAATCCTGCCTCAACCTCCCCTGTAGCTGGGACTATAGGTGTGCACCGTAACACCCAGCTCCAACAATATTCTTTTGCATGTAGATATACAGTTGTCCCAGCACCATTTTTTTGTTTTTTTTTTGAGACAGAGTCTCACTCTGTCACCCAGGATGGAGTACAGTGGCACGACCTTGGCTCACTGCAACAACCTCTGCCTCCTGGGTTCAAGCGATTCTCCTCCCTCAGCCTCCTAAGTAGCTGGGACTACAGGCATGTGCCACCATGCCCGGCTAATTTTTTGTATTTTTACTAGAGACAGGGTTTTGCCATGTTGGCCAGGCTGGTCTTGAACTTCTGGCCTCAAGTGATCTGCCTGCCTCAGCCTCCCAAAGTACTGGGATTACAGTTGTGAGCCACCGTGCCCGGTCAGCACCATTTGTTGAGGAGACTATTCTTTCCCCGTTGAGTGATCTTAACATCCTTCTTGAAAATCAGTTGACCATAGATGTATGGCTTTATTTCTGGATGCTCAGTTGTTCATTGATCTATATGTCTGCACTTATGCCAGTACCCTGTCTTGAGTACTACTGCTTTTTAGTAGGTTTTGAAATGGAGAAGTGTGAGTTCTCTAACTTTGGTCTTTGTTTTCAAGATTGTTGTGACTATTTGGAGCCTCTTGTAATTCCATATGAATTTTAGAATCAGCTTCGTCTACAAAGAAGCCAGCTGGGATTCTCATAGGGACTTGAGGAATCTGTAAGTCACCTTGGGTAGTAAGTCTTTTGATCTATGAACATGAGATATTTTTCCATTTATTTAGATCTTGGTTTTCTTTTGACATTGTTATTTAGTTTTCAGAGTGTAAACTAAGGTTTTATGCTTCTTTGTTAAACTTATTTCTAAAATATTTTCTTTTTAATGCTGTTGTAAATGGAATTGTTTTCTGAATTCCATTTTCAGATTGCTCATTACAAGTGTATTCAGGTGTAGAAATACAATTTGATTTTGTATATTGATCTTGTAGCCTGCATCGTTGCCGAGTTTGTATGTTCTAATAGTTTTTTAGTGGATTTTTTTAGGATTCTCTCTATTTAAGATCATGTGTGAGTAGAAATAGTTTTGCTTCTTCGTTTCCAATTTGGATGCCTTTGATTTATTTTTCTTGCGTAATTTCCTGACTAGAGCCTCCAGTACAATGTTGAATAAAAATGGCAGGAGTAGACATCCCTGATTTGTTCTTGGTCTTATGGGGACAGTGTTCAGTCTTTCATCGTCATGTATGATGTTAGTTGTTTTTTGTAGATTCCTTTATCAGATTGAAGAAGTTCCCTTCTCTTCCTGATTTGCTGAGTGTTTTTATTCTGAAAGGGTGTTGGATTCTGTTAGATGCCTTTTCTATATCATTTGAGATTATCATGTGGTTTTTGTCCTTTATTCTGTTAATGTGGTGTATTACATAAATTTATTTTCTGGTGTTAAAACCAACTTTGTATTTCTGGGCTAAATCCCACTTGGTCATGGCGTCTTGTCCTTCTTATATGTTGCTGGATTCAGTTTTTGATTATTTTATTGAGGATTCTCATATCCATATTCTTAAGATAGTGTGTAGTTTCGTTTTCTTGTGATGTCTTTGTTTTTGGGATCGGGGTGTAACACTGGCCTCATAGAATGAGTTGGTGTTCCAGCCTCTTCTATTTTTTGGAAGAAGTTGAGATGGATTGGTATTAATTATTCTTTAAATATTTGACAGAATTCACTAGTGAAGCCATCTGAGTGGGCTTTTCTTTGTGGATAGTTTTTTTATTTTTAATTCATTCTCTTTAATTGTTATAGGTCTAATCATATTGTCTGCTTTTAAGTCAGTTTTGGTAGTTTGTGTCTTTTTAGGGAAGTGTTCAGTTTATCTAAGTTTTCTAATTTATTGGCCTACAGATATTTATAGTTTTCTTCCTCTTCTTGAAGAATATTCTTTAGAAGCTATCTTAGTGAAGGGTTTTTGGTAAATTCCCTCTGTATCTGAATATATTCATATTTTGTCCACAGTTTTGAAAATAATTTTTTATCTGGGTGCACAGAAGGGCTTCATTTCTGTTTTTTTTTTTTCTTAATAGCATTTAAACATTTCATACAACATCTGGTTTTTGCTGTTAAGATGTCTTCTGATAGTCTGTCCTTGCTCAGTAGGTGATCTGTCTTTTCTCTCTGGCTGCTTTTAAGGTCTTCTCTACCTCTTTCTTGTCCTTTTGACATTTTAGTGCAATGTGATTTGGGTGTGCTGTGCTTTATATTTTTCCTGTTTGGTGTATGTTATGCTTTCTCTATTTGTGGATTTATGTCTTTTATTAGTTCTGGAAAATTCTCATTTTCTCAAATATTTTCTCTTCTCCATTATCATATTCACTTCTTCTGGGACTCTAATTTGACCTATGTCAAACCTTATTTTATCTCCCACACATCTTAACTGCTCTTTCATATTTTTCATATCTTTGTCTCCTTGTGCTACATTCCAGGTGCTTTTCTTTTTTCAGCTCTATCTTCCAGTTCATTGATTCATTCAGCTGTGTCTAATCTGCCATTTCACTTGTTTATCGAGTTTTCCATTTCAGTAGTTCTTTTTTTGTTTTTGAGATGGAGTCTCGCTCTGTCACCCGGGCTGGAGTGCAGTGGTGCGATCTTGGCTCACTGCAAGCTCCGCCTCCTGGGTTCACACCATTCTCCTGCCTCAGCCTCCCGAGTAGCTGGGACTACAGGCGCCTGCCACCACGCCCAGCTAATTTTTTGTATTTTTAGTAGAGATGGGGTTTCGCCGTGTTAGTCAGGATGGTCTCAATCTCCTGACCTTGTGATCCGCCCACCTCAGCCTCCCAAAGTGCTGGGATTACAGGCGTGAGCTACCACACCTGGCCCCATTTCAGTAGTTCTATCTTTAATTTCTGAAAATTCTATTTGGTTTGTTTTCACATCTCCTTGGTATTTTTTTCTAGTTCCTTGTGGCTTGTCTATTTCAAAATTCTGTCTTTTATTTCTTTAAGCAATTTATGAAGTTATTTTATATTCTGATATCAGATACAATAAAACCTTGGTGGTTAAAAAAAAAAAATCTCTTATTTTGGCTGACTCATCCGTGTTGCCTTGCTTGATTTTGTTTGCCTTGTTGATTTGTTTGATCTTAATCTATAGGAATCCTGGAGACCCAAATAGGGGATGCCTTCTTCCAGAGAGGATAGGGATCTTTGGCAAAAGGGAAGAGTCTCTGGTTTAGATAGATCCTCTACCCTGTGGCTTATTCCTAGAATCAGTGCTGATAGTGGCACTGGACTGTAGGACAGCTCAGCCTTCCCAGTTGCTTCATGCTCAAAACTCTAGTTGCAGCTCTTTGTGGGTGGGTGGTGAGAAGAGGGGGTTGGGTTAGGGATTTTCCTTACCTTATGCAAGCCCAACAACACGTTAAAAGGAGCGGTTTCAGGGATCTAGTTGTTTTTAGAAGGGCTGTTGGATGTCCTCCATAATCCTGTCTCTTTAGTGTGTTCACACCACTGTTAGTTACTTGGGTATTAATTTGTTGGTATTAAAAATAACGTTGACATTCACATTTTTGTACATCTACCGTTGTGCACTTAACATAGCATTTCTGTAAGACAGATTTTTAGATGTAAAATTGCAGGGTTTATTTTTGATAGATCCTGTCACATTGTCCTCCCCAAAAGATTTTACTAATTATATTTCTTCTTGCAACAGTTGAAGACAGTTTCCCCATGTCCTTGCGAACACTAGATATTACTAATATTTAAATGTTTTATTTTAATTTTCTAAACTTTTGCTTCATTAATCATTGTGAAATACTAGCAAATACAGAAAGGTACACAGAAAAAAATATACAACCCACTGACTTGTCACAAAGTAAAAATTCTTATGGAACCACCACTTATATTTGGACATGGAACACTGGCAGCAATCAGAATTCCTGTTGTCCCATCCAACCAGACCTTTCTCCTTCCTCCCAGGGTTAACTGTTGTACTGACTTACATCCCTGTAGTTTAGTCTGTCCTGTTTTTGAACTTGACTTACGAGATCATGCTGTATATATTCATGTCTCCTGTTTGTTTTTTTTTTTTAGCTCTGTGTAATATTTATGAGATTCACCTTTGCTAGTGCACCCATTGCCACATTTCTATTTACTTTATTGCCACATTTCTATTTACTTTAGAGTGATCCATGAATGGATATATAGTAAGTCCTTTCTCAGCATCCTTGACAGGTTCGTGGAAACTGTGACTTTAAGTGAAGTGACCTATACAGCAGGTCCTCAAATAACATCATTTTGTTCAATGTTGTTTTATCATAACGATGAGAAAAGAAATGGCTTTGTTTTTATTTTTGTTTTTTTGAGACAGAGTTTCATTTCATCGTCCAGGCTGGAGTGCACTGGCACGATCATGGCTCACTGCAGCCTTGACCTCCTGAGCTCAGGTAGGTGATCCTCCCACCTCAGCCTCACAGGTAGCTGGGAAGCACAGGCATGTGTCACCACACCTGGCTAATTTCTTCCTTTTTTTTTTTTGGAGATGGAGTCTTGCTCTGTCACCCAGGCTGGAGTGCAGTGGTGCGATCTTGGCTCACTGCAACCTCCGCCTCCCGGGTTCAAGTAATACTCAGCCTCCTGAGTAGCTAGGATTACAGGCACCTGCTAATTTTTGTATTTTTTAGTAGAGATGGGGTTTCACCATGTTGGCCAGGCTGGTCTGGAACTCCTGACCTCGTGATCCACCCACCTGAGCCTCCCAAAGTGCTGGATTACAGGTGTGAACCACTGTGCCTGGCATGCCTGGCTAATTTCTTAAATGTTTTGTAGAGATGCAGTCTTATTATGTTGCTCAGGCTGGTCTCGATCTCCTGGGCTCAAGCAGTCCTCCCACCTGGTGTCCCAAAGTGTTGGGATTACAGGCGTGAGCCACTGTGCCTGGCCTAGTTTTGTTATACATTGTTTGGCTTCAAGTCACAGTTTCCCAAGAACCCAGTGACAACATTAAGTGAGGACTTAGTGTACTACAATTTATCTGTTCTGCTGTTTTATGAACATTTGGGTTGTTCCTAGTTTTTGGCGGTTATGAATATTCTTGTACAGATTTTGTGTACATGTGCACACATTTCTCTTGGATATATCCCTAGGAGTGGGATTTCTGGGCCACAGGGATGAGTATACTTAGTTTCAGTAGCTACTGTAAAACAGTTTTACCTGATTATGTTCCCTGCAACCGGTTAGGAGTCACCTGTGCTCCACAC
Source organism: Homo sapiens (assembly GCF_000001405.40). Lineage (NCBI taxonomy): Eukaryota > Metazoa > Chordata > Mammalia > Primates > Hominidae > Homo > Homo sapiens. Next base: position 458,464 of record NW_025791788.1, on the reverse strand, counting down.
CATCTCTTACACTTAGTTGTGGGTCTTCTGAATTTCACCCATTCTGGTGTGTGTGTAGTGGTATCTTGTGATGAGATTAAGTACCTTCTCATATGTTTACTGGATTTTTCCTTTTGTGATCTATTTAAGTCACAATTTAAGTCTCTTGCTCATTTTTTTTGGTAGAGTTGTCTTTTTCTTATTGATTTGAAGGCATTCTTTGTATATTCTGGATAGAAGCCCTTTGTCAATTTTGTGTCCAGTAGGTATCTTTTCCCACTATGTAGCCTATGTAGTTTGTCTTTTGACTTTTTTTTTTTTTTTTGAGACGGAGTCTCGCTCTGTCGCCCAGGCTGGAGTGCAGTGGCGCGATCTTGGCTCACTGCAAGCTCCGTCTCCCGGGTTCACACCATTCTCCTGCCTCAGCCTCCCGAGTAGCTGGGATTACAGGCACCCGCCACCATGCCTGGCTAATTTTTTGTATTTTTAGTAGAGACGGGGTTTCACCATGTTAGCCAGGATGGTCTCGATCTCCTGACCTTGTGATCCGCTTGCCTCGGCCTCCCAAAGTGCTGCGATTACAGGTGTGAGTCATTGTGCCTGGCCCGTCTTTTGATTCTTAATGGAGTCCTTATAAGAACGGTTCATAATGTTAAGGTAGCCTAATTTACCAGTCTTTTTCCCTTTTAAGAAGTCTTTCTTTGCCTTAAGGTCCTGAAGATATTTTCCTGCCATATCTTTAGAAAATTTATTGTTTTGTCTTTCACATTTTGTTGGGTGACTGTCTGAAACTGATTTTTGAAATGGCAGGAGGTGGGGTTTTATTTTCTTTTCAAATGGAATTATCCTGTCGTCACAGAAATTGTGAACACTACAGAGTCATAACAAGCTTTGATATCTGACAAATCCTTCTGTCTTCTTCAAGCATATCTTGGCTGTTCTCGACCTTTTGCATATCTACATGAATTTGAGAATCACCTCACTCAGTTCTGCAGGAAAAGCACAAACAAAACTGCTATCCCACAAAAATTAAAAACTAAAAAAAAAGCCACTGGGATTTTCATGGTGTAGCGTTAAAATGATGAGTGTTGAAATCTATACAATACTGAGTCTTCCAACATGGACATTTAAACTTTTATATATATATATATTATTCTGATAAAAATGTTTTATGGTTCTCTTCAGAGAGGTCTTATATTAATTTCACGATATTTGATGGTTTTAGATGTAAATGGCATCTTTAAAAAGATCTTACTTTAAAAGTGTTTGATTATGCAGTAATGTGATTGGTTTTTCTATTTTGACTTTGCATACATCAACTTTGCTCACTTGTATTAATCCTAACGATTATAGTTTCTTTTGGATTTTCTTTATATGTAATCGTAGTCTGTGAATTTGATGTTTTCCCTTTCCTTCCCAATCCTTATACCTTTCACTTCTTTATTTTACTTCACTTTATGTAGTTAATTTGTGATAGTATGAATTTTAGTCCTGTTCCAAATCTCAAAAGCATTTTACCATCAAGTAAATTGTTTAATGTAGGTTTTTTTTTCCTTAAGTGGCTGACATCAGATTAAAGAAGTTTGTTCCCTTCTTTTCCTGATTTATTAAGAGGATTTTTTAAAATCAGGAGCAGATGTTGAACTTTATCAATGCCTTTTCTATTTCTATTGAGATGATCATATGACCAAAATATTTTCTGTTAACGTGGTTAATTATGCAATTTGTTGTGATGTGTTCTTTTTCTGTATGATGATAATTGGGTTTGCTAATATTTTGTTTAGGGATTTTGGCAGATGTTTATGAGTGATAAGAACTGTGCTTTCTCTTTTTGTAATGTCTGTGTTCAGCCTTGGTGTCGAGGCCTAGACCTGCCCGTAAAACACTTAAAAGATGGTCTGTTTACTCTTTCTCTGTTGCCTGGAAGAGGTGGATTAACAACGGCTGGGTTCAGTGGCTCACACCTGTAATCCCAACACTTTGGGAGGCCAAGGTGGGAGGATCACTTGAGCTCAGGAGTTCAAGACCAGCCTGGGCAACATAGCGAGACCTCGTCTCTAATAAAAGTAATTAAAAATCAGCCGAGTATGGTGGTGCATACCTGTAGTCTTACCTGCCTGAGAGACTGAGATGGAAGGATTACTTGAGCCCTGCAGGTCGAGGCTGTAAGTGAGCTGTGATGGTACCACTGTGCTCCAGCCTGGGCAACAGAACGAGACCCTGTCTCAAAAAAAAAAAAAAAAAAAAAAAAGGAATGGTATTATTTCTGACTTAAATGCTTTGTAGAATCAGCTGTGAAATCAGCTAGGCCCCATAGTTGTCTTTGTAGGAAAGTTTCAAATTTTAGTAAGTTGTATTTTTCTAGAAATTTTTTGTTTTATCTATGTTTTCAGAATTTTGGCATATGATGTTGTTGGGTAATGTTCTTTTATTATCTTTTCATGTTTATAGGATTTGAAGTATGCTCTTTTATTCCAGATGTCTGATATTTGATTTCTCTCCCTCTCTGCTACTGTCTGAATGTTTTACCCTCCCACCCCCCCAAATTTATATGTTGAAATCCCAACTCCCAAGGTGATGGTGTTAGGAGGTGGGGCCTCTGGGAGGTGATTAGGTCATGAGGGTAGAGCCCTCATGATTTGAATTCAGGCCCTTATACAAGAAACCCCAGAGCGCAAGCCAGCCCCTTTCACCATGTGAAGTGACAGTGAAAAGAGGGCTGTGGATAAGGAAGTCGGCTCTCGCCAGATAGCAGATCTGCTGGCGCCCTGGTCTTGGACATCCCAGCCTCTAGAACTGTGAGAAACAAGTTTCTGTTGTTTATAAGCTACCAGTTTTGGGCATTTCGTGATAGCAGCCTGAAGGGGCTAGGACACTCCCTTAATCATTCCCACCAAGAGTTTAGTTTCCTAAGAATCAACTTTTGATCCATTTGTACTCTAGCTAACTGAATAGAGTGTAAGGATAGGAGCTGCTCATTTCCATCTGCTGTGAAAGGTTTTCTCAGGCCCCAAGAATAGTGTGTGGGCCTGAGCTAAATCCGTGCTTTGAGGTTCTCCCCACTCCCTCCCATCCAGTCCTGCCCTTTGGAAAGTGCAGCTTGGATGTTTTCGAACGCCAGATCCTCCAGGTTATATGCAATTGAGGGGAGTGGTTAAAAGGGAGACAGGAGATGATGGTCTGTCATCAGTACAAATATTGAGGCCAGTGATGTGTGAGGCCCAATTCCTTTTCTTTTACAACTGTTTATTTTTGTGAAAGCGAGAGCTATGCCATCTAAAACAATGCAAACCATATATGAAAGTCCAAAGAAGGAAGAGGAGAGAGTGCCTCACATTCTGCTCTGTAGAGGAGACAGTTGTGAGCATTGTGGTGCCTGTCCTTCACCTTTCTCCCTGCCCGCGTCACACACATGTGCACATGTACAGCTTTACGTATGTCGACTCTGACAGTGTGGTGTGTGTTGAGCTGTCCCTGGTCAGTATGGACAGACCCACATAGCTTGGAGCATGTGTTGAAGAGTGTAAATGTCAGAGCCAGCGTACCGGGTTTGAGTCCCTGCCTTGCCATTGACAAGCAGGGCATGACAGACAAGTGATGTCTGTGTCTGTTGCTTGTCTGTAAAGTGGGACGCCGGCCGTGCTGCCCTGTTGGGCTGCTGTGAGGGTGGAGCAAGTTAACACATGCACAGCCTGTAGAAGGGTGGCCGTCTGCCGTTGTCTCTGGTGGCTGTATGATGTTCCGGAGGGAATGTCGTTCTAAGCGATGCCTTGCTGAACACCCCCTGCGCTCTCCTTGCAGGTGTCGAGTGATACTCACTTGATACTCTGAGTGTGGCCAACATGCGGGGCTCAGGTGGCTTACTGCTTTTCCTTCCAAAGGCCGACTGTGGTGACCTTGCTGAAGACAGATCATCCGTCTCAGGGTCTGGAGTCGGGGTCCCACACTGCTTGCCGTGAGAGGTCAGGGGGCGGTGCTGGCCTCTGAGCAGCCCCGTGGCACTGAGGGCTGGCCCAGGTGCTCTCACAGGGCGACCTCCTGACGCCCGTGCTCACCGTGGCCCTCGCTCCTAATCCCACCCTCAGGTTCTGAGGCAGGAAGCAGTTCCCACACTTGGCTACTGGGAAGGAAGGTTGTGTGGGGGGGCAGAGGCTTCCTGTGTGACCTGGAGCTGATCTTTCCCGCCCCTGCAGGTGCAGCAGTACCGCGTCGCCATGACTGCCAAGGACTGCTCCATCATGATTGCACTGTCTCCCTGTCTGCAGGATGCCAGGTGAGGCCCCCACTGCAAGGCATGCAGCCTGGGTCTAACGGGGTTTTATGGACAGTTGGTGAATTGTTAATAGGATAGTTGGTTTCCCCATATTTAGAGACTCCATGGCGGAGTGACATAACTTCCTTGGCCTATGTGACATCATGGGGCTTACTAACTCTCGCCCTCTAGAAGCTTGTAATTCAGTCAAAAGACAGATTTATGGAGAATAACTTAAAAGGATTGTTAGTACATTGAAAGTTACTGTTTTCTAAGAAAATACTCCCAAGAGCTCAGAAACAATGTGGACAGTGAGCTGCCCATTGCATTCCCTCAAAGAAAGCCAGCCCCTGAGATGTGTGGGTACCTGTGGCCCTTGTTCCTCGGTCTCCCACAGTGGCAGCATGGCGCACCTGCCTTTTTACCACCACAGTCATTTGAAAGCCTGTGAGGCGCGCATTCATTCTGCTTCCTCTTCTGAATAACCAGCCTATGTGCCGCCCCTCTCCCTAATGTCACTAGTTTTGTCCAGTCCCCTCTGTTTCTGGGAATTCGGGATGAAACTGATAATCTCATAGTCGTTAGACAGCATCTCCATCACCGATCTTCAGGGGTGCTAAACCCTGCACCCAGTATTTGCGGAATGTTCCACATTCTTCTAACATGTGTTCCTGGGTCAAGATGACCTTGGTTGCTGGCTGCCAGCCACTCACTTTCCCGGTGCTTTTGAACTAAACAGTTCCCAGGATTCCTGTTCCCTGGCAGGCACAGAATTGTTTACTTTCCAATATGAAATACTGAGGAACATTATAGGGCTAACTGAAGTAGAAAAAAGGTTGTTCTATTTAGTTGAAAACTCCTGTTATCCCCTAAGGAAATACCTACAGGGCTAAGTTATGAGGAATTCCTTAACTGGATTAAGCTGGTGGTGTTCGATGAGAGAAAACCCACGAAGATACCACTGTTCAGCAGCCCCCCGACCAAGGATGCAGCTGGGCAATGGAAATGTGCTTGGATGCAGGGTGCCCTTAGGTGGGCTGTGAAAGGCCGCTGAAGGACAGACATGTTACTCACCTCGTCTAGCACCTGGGAATCTCTTAGTGCCTGGTCAGTGATGTCAAATTGGAAAGCCAGCATGCGGGGAAAGCTGAAGGCCCGGGTCCTTACGACCAGCTGCTCAGCAGAAACGACACTAGGAGGGGAGGGGAGGGCATGTCCTGAAGGCACTGAGCCATGTGGCTTCTCAGACCTAGGGTGTAGGCACTGGAACCATCCTGCACAAAGCACTCTAGCCAGGCCTTTCTCAACAAAAGGAGAGGATCTCAGAGAAGGCTTCTCCTCCGAGAACATGGCGTGTGGGGCTGGGCCTGCTTCCAGGAAGGTGTGCGCAGTGGCCGCACCTGTGAAGTTCCAGTAACTGTGGTGCTCTAGAGGCCTAGGGACAAACTAAGGCTGGGATTTATCATGAGTCATCTTGGCGTCTTGAGATACCTGGTAGACCTGAGACTAAATTTAGATCCCTAGACTAATTTGCAGCTCACAGATAGATTGACCACATTTAAACTTCTTACACCCCCTAAAATAAAGGCTTCTCCAGCTCTGCACTACTGTTTCTGCCCTGTCATAAAGGAAAATGTCTCAAGTTGGATCTGCCTTCCTGTCGCTGCAGAGCTTTGTCCCTTTGGGAATTTGGAACTGTGGAGAGAGCTGCCACAGCTTCCCGGCCTAAACCCTGATGCTCCTCTCGACCTCCCATTTGAAACACAGTGTGCGGCCTTGGCTTCTCCACCCCGATCCCCAGCACCCTTGGAGGCTGCTGGTCCCCCGGTAACCCCCAGCGGGTCAGTGTCCTGGAGAACGGCCTTCCAGGCAAGGGCTGCCCCCCTGCAGCCAGAAGGCCACCTGAGCCTCATTCTCCAAGGCTGCTAGAGGGCACACTTGTGGCACAAGGGACAGGTGTGTCCCTGGGGCCTCTTGCCCAGTCTTGGCCTCCGGGGTACTGAGGGGGAAGAAGAGCATTTCTGTGTCAGGAGCTGGTGCCCGCTGGTCACTGCCATTGGTTCCCATGGAGCTAGCTTGTGGTTGACCCAGGTAGTCAGACCCTCCCCGGGAGCTGCCTGGAACATCCTTCCTGTCTTTACACCCATGGTCTTGTCAGGTGCTGCTTCTGAGAAATTGGGGTGTCCTTTAAAATACGTAACCCTAGTCATGGGCTGGGGATGTGACTGTTCCAGCCCAGGTGCACCCAGCTTGGGTCTCAGGCCTCAGAACTGAGCAGTACCTTGGGCTTCTGAGGTTCTCCCAATAAAATGTGGCCCCTTGGGATGAGCTGCAGGCACACTCCAGCTTCTGGAGCGAGACTCATGACCTTAATTTGTAAATGAGTTATTTGCTGTTTACTCTTCAGATGAGAATAGTTACTTACCCCAGCAGCTTAGTCAGGGATTTGTTTTTTCTACAAACAGGATTCTGGGGCAGGGCAGCAGTGAGCGCCAAGGCCATGGTGAGCAGCGTCAGAGCAGGGACGTGCTGATCAGTATTTCCTCTCCTCGGCAGGAGCTTTTGAAGTTGGGGTTTGGCTTGTTGATTTCTAAATCTCAAAGCGTAGTAAACATTGGGACACCAGAACCCAGGATACTTCTCTTGGACTGAACTGAGCTTAGGTCACTTGTTTAGCCAGTGTCTTGAGTGCTGTGCGCTGAGTGCCCGGAGACGAAAAGCGGGACACACAGCAGTCAGAGCTCAGGACTCGGAGTAATCCTAAATGTGTTTTTCAGGGCAAATAATTAATCACATCTTGTTATAAGCACACGACTTCTGAGGTTAAAACCACAAAACTAAGCCCTGAGAAGCAAAATACAAAGGACTGAAGATAAAATTTGAGAATAAAATGAGAAACCAGATCTCTTCAAATGTGAACCAAAGGAGCTTGCGTTTCTCAGCAGACAGGAGAGGCAAAGAAGAAGGCTTGTCGACATTCCATCCATTTGGCGCTGGAATGGCCAGATCTACTTTTTACTTTTTGTTGGGTTTTGTAATACTTGGCTCATGATAAAGTGATTTTTCAGCGTTCGTTTATACCACTGGGCTGGGGGAACATCGCTCACATGTTCCACATAATTACTTTTCCATCTTTCAGTCCTTTAACCCTCTCTCGCCTGGTATGGTGGGGTGCACTGGCCTGAGGAAGCTTTGCACGCTGGTGCACACAGCCGGCACAGACAGCTGTCACACGCACAGATCACAGGTGCACAGAACGAGTGCTCTTTGTGAGCTGGGGTGTGAGGCCATTCACTTCTCTTTTAAAAGAGATTGATTTATCTAACTTTGCAGAAGTCAAAGAAAAAACATAAAAACATACTAGTTGAAAGAAGAAAGGGAGAGAGAACGGGAGGGAGGGAAATGAATGGGGGGCTTGTGTATCCTGAAATGGTACTTTTTACTTGCAGCTCTGATCAAAGGCCTGTCGTCCCTTCATCGAGGTCCAGGTTTGCCTTTTCCGTGTCTGTGCTGGACCTTGACCTCAAGCCCTACGAGAGCATTCCCCATCAGTATAAACTGGACGGCAAGATCGTCAACTATTATTCAAAGACTGTACGTGCCAAAGACAACGCCGTGATGTCGACTCGGTTCAAGGAAAGCGAAGATTGCACATTAGTTCTCCACAAGGTCTAACTCTTTCCCTGCAGTGTCTTTGAAACTTGAACATAATGTGAAGGCTGAATGATAGAGATATTTTCTGTTGTGTTGGGTGACCTTTGGTTGTGAATGTTTTTGCTTTTAACCCCTTTTGAGGTGGGATTGCCTCTTGGAGACATGGAATTGAAGAGCACTAGAAACAACTTCCTGGACAAGGAATGTAGGAAGTGAGTGCTGTGTCCCAGGAAGCTGCTCACACTCTTAAAATGGAAGTGTCCGTTAAGCCCTGGGAAGACGTTCTGGATAGTTCTTCTTTCCCAACCAGGGCTCATGTCTGATTCTCTAATGCGAAAAGCCTTATTCTAAGACCCAAGGTTTGGATCTGCTACCACCAGACTCCTAACATAGAAAACTTGAATTGTCACATACATTTTACAGTTTGGACTTTTAAGAAAACATGGATACTACTGGAACTTCCCCCAGCTGAGTTACATGGTCACTTTTTCAGTGCAAGCCACATATCAACACAGGTTTTTAGGTGGTTCCCTGCTGCACAGCGTGACCTCGTGGTCGCGCAGATGCCGATTCTGAGCAGTGTAGACTCAGGGTCCCTGTGGAGGTGCTGAAGCCCACAGTTCCACACAGGGCAGCAGGGAGCGCAAGGCTCAGGTCAGGATGGACACCACTCATGCGAGCATTGACCTTTTTTTTTTTGCTTTACAATTTAATCTTTCACATGAGGGGGAGATGAGCTGTTCTTTCCCACTAAAAATTGCTGCTGTAGAAGTTGGAGGTGGAGCTGTGACTGGCTGAGCTGCTGTGGCCGGGCTGGGCAGTGTGCCCCAACAGCTCAGTGCTTTCCTGACACTCCAGTGTCTGGGGTGGTTGAGGAGCGAGTTCTCTCTTCCTCCCAGACCAAGTTCCTCCCTCGGGTTTGCCTTGAGACGTGTTGCGTTTTTGGGCCCCGTGGCCTCTCCCTGTTAGGCTGCCACAGGCCCTGCTTCTGGAAGGTGAACAGCTCCTGGCTGCTGCCGAGAGGGTTCTCGTTGGGGTCACCAAAGTGTGCCCGGCTGCTATGAAAAACGTTGGGAATCTTGGTTTCAGTTTTTTATTCTATGCTAGGTTGTACAGACTTATTTATATCATCGTTTTGAGGGACTAATGGAGGCTTATTGTAACATATAATATTAGTGAAACCATGGAATTATATGAAAATGATACATGAGAAATAAGGAAACTATTTTGCTGATTGTAAATTTTTGTGGGAAATTTTGTGATAACTTGAGAATTATACTTGTTTGAATCAAGGCAACTCTTCTAGAATTTATTGTTCAATTCTGTCATATTTACTTCTAATTCTACTCTCAGAGGTGCAAAAAGATACTTATCTAACTGGACACTTTTACTGTTTTCTTCTCACTTCCAATGACACCGTCTCATACACACGGGTCCTGTGTGCTGGGATGGGGGCTTTGGTGAAGTGCACGGAGCTCACGGACAAGCCGCAGGCTCTGGGAAGCGTGGAGGTAGTGGCCGTTGAGTACTGTCTTGACCCAAGGGAGTTCACTGTTGCTGGGCTGGGGCTGGGGCAGCCTGGTTTGGGATGATTTTGCCCATTGTCACGGTGTGTGGAGGATGCTGGGTCCTGGGTTCAAGTGCACATGTGAGGGAACCCCAGTCCGTGGGAAGGTGGGCTGGGCTCCCTAGGTCCTTCAGGGCTGCAAGAGTTATTGCCTAGCACAGGGCCCAGACAGGGCTGGACTAGACACGATGAAAACAGCCTGTATTTGAGGGAGAAGAGAAAACAGATGGAGACCCCCACTCTGTCTGGTCTTGGCTCCCACCAGCCCGGGCTGTGAGGAGCCCCTGAGCCGCGGGTGCCACTGCTGTGGATGCGTTTCTGGCCCGTCTTGGAAACTGCTGCTGCTGCGTAGTCATGACGGCCCTGACTGGTTTGAGACAACACGCGTTCACAGATCTTAACAATGCTAAATGGGCGACTGATGAGGTCACGGTTCTTAAGGCACATCCGGGACGATCGATATAGCACTTAGGCTATGCAGGGGGGTCTTTCTTTCATAAAGGACCTCATTCCTTGCGTCCCAGCCCAGGAACAGTGCTGTCTTTGCTGTCTTAGGCCATTCTTGTTATTAAGCTGACAGCTTCACTTTCTTGTGGAAGACCAAGAACAGCATGAGGACTTGCTGAGACTGCCTCACGGTGCCACCATGCGGACCGGGGGGAGGCAGGGAGTGAGGGTGTGGCTCCCCTGGGCTACTAAGGACAGTTTAAAGATGAGGCGCCATAGGCATCCGTCTCCAGAGCCCCCAGGAGGCAGGAACCAGGATAAGGGTGGCTTCTCCCAGCTGAGTAATGTGGCCACCATGTCCAAGGTGGACTCGGTGTGAGGCTGCAGTGGGTGGGGGATGGATCCTCCCCACACATCTGAGGACACACAACCACTTGGTACATTTTCTCAGATGTTAAGCTTATTTTTATAAACCACATTGTACGTGTCACTTTTATTTGGCATTTTATACTTAACTAGTTGTATTTATTTTTCATGTCATGAGAGTTTCCATATAATGTGCCATAACTGCATAGACAGCACGTCTTCAGGGTGTGGTTTCTAAGCAGAAAATAGCAAATGTTTATATTGAATAAAATTGCATGTTCCTCCACGCAGCATCTTCATCCTCCACGTTCACTGTTTTGGAACTAGTTGTTCTCCTCTGCACAAAGCGATTTTATCAGGCTTTCCAGAGCAGCTTCGATTCCAAGCAGTCCTACCAGGGTTCGGAAGCTGAGAGGAGCAGTTTCTATGGCTCTGTTCTTGTCCAGCTCCAGGGCTATAAAGAAAACATTAAACCGGGTAAGAAACTTCAAGGTGGCAGCTTTTGGTCTTTTGTTTTCTGCTGGCATGGACCTCACCAAGACCCCGCACTCCTCCCGACTAGCTGCATGGGATGGGACATGCTAGTGGCGGGCGAGGAGATGGAGTGAGTGGAGGCCTCACCTACGGCTGGAGGCATATTCCCTGTGCATTCAGCCTGGGAGGGCCTTGGGGCAGCAATCCCTTTTCATGTTCTTTTTGAGTGATTATTGATAAAAATATTTAAAAATTGATAGACAAAGTACATTAATGAGATTTCCAATTTTTGATTCTTGCCCTTTGAAACCCAGAGGAAACAGGCAGGCGGCTTTGCTGGGCATGTTGAGAAGTCACCTAGAGCAGCCACACCCAGGGCCCTACCTCGCTGTGGGACTTTGGTGAGAAGATCCAGCTTTGGAAAAACCTTCCCATCTTCATCTATTTGTATCCTCCAAACAATGACTAATTCAAACCTGAAAAAGCAGTAAAACATGTCGTTATGTGCTTTTTGAAATCTGGCGAAAAGATTAGCAACCATGAGTCGCACCTGGTCTCCATTTCCCCATGCTGGGCTCCCCTGCTAGAAACCCCAATCCACAGCCAAGAAGAGGCACAGTCAGTAGCACAGGCAAATGGAACCAGGATCACAGGAAGGTGCTGCTCTGTCCCCACTGCATTGGCAAACATTAGTAGGCCAATACCAGCGAAGTACAGAACATGGAGCAACAGAAACTTCAAAATTACTGGTGGGAGCAGACATGGACAAGCCACTTTGGAAATAATCTGGCACTGACAGTAAGCTGAACATGCATCCATGCATGACACAGGAATTTCATTTCTAGGCAGTTGAGCCCAGGAGAAGCTTATGTACTGTGTGCCAGGAGGTGTGAGCCAGAACAAAGAAGCCACGTGCTCCAGAGCTGAAGAGCGCAGCAAGACGCTGTGTATGATCCCCTCCGGGAGGATGAGCAGTGAAACTGCACTGCAGCTGCTCATGACCCTGGAGGAGGTGAACGGTGACAAAGGCAAGTCCCAGAAGCCTGCATAAGGACCACATGATTTTAAAGCTTGGAAACCAGTTGAGTTGAGGCATTCACACACAGGTCATAAAAGCACACCCAGATGGATACATGTCCACACATGCACAGCCAAGGGAAGAGGATGGAGAACACGGCACGGGCCAGGGTGGCGCCGGGGCTGGTGGAGGGATCAGCTGTGCTATCAGGGCACTAAGCCTGTCCTGTTTCTTCTCATTGCTTTGGGGTTTTCCACTCACCCCTGGCTTCCTCCCTTCGATTTCTGAAGTAACAGCAGATCCACAAGCATCTCCACTTTCTCCCAGCCTCCCTTCCTTGACCCCATAAGTCCTGGGGTGGGCCCCAGGACTGGCGTTTTCCCCCTGCGGCCCAGCACATCCTCCAGAGCTCCAGCTCCCCGCACCCCCATACTGGGCATATCTGCTGGGACCACTGATTCCTCCAACCGACGACCTTTAGTTCTTGGTTAGGTAGTTTACTACTTAGAATCCTACTTAGGTGGTCTCCTACTTGGAATCCTTGTTTGAACAGGAAATGGGAGGCCCCATGGCCTGTGCAGGCTCACCCTGGCCGGCTGGCGCTGCGGATCCCCATGGAGCAGGAGGAGGGCCCCTCCGAGAGGTACACGGCATCTGGGTACTTTTCCTGCATGGGGAGAAGAAACGGGTAGACAGATCCACTGGTGGGGAGAAAGGGGCCATGGGAGGGGCACGGGGCACCGTTCCAGGTGTCTGGCGAAAATCAGGGTCCGAGTGTTTGCGCAGCATCCATGGGTGCCAACCGCCCCTCTTGCCCTTGCTGTCACACACGTCCGCCCCACTGTAGGTCTCTCCACAGCCTCCAGGCTCCCATGACTGCTGCTTCCCCATCATGAACATTGTACATAACCTCCCTACAGCTGTATTCTCATTTCACAGGTTTCCCCACACCCTTTCCATCTGGGATGGCTCCTTGGTCTGCCCTTGTCTGTCACAACCCAGACGGTCTGGAGAGGACTGGTCAGAGGATTCCCCAAGCGGATGCGTCAGGCTCTTTGCTGGAAAGCAGCTGTTTTCTCACGGTTTTAGCATCTGACCTGAAAAGCCCTTTGAGCTGAGGCTCCGTGAGGGCTGTGGCCGAGCCTGGACGCCCCTCGCCTGTCCGTCCTCAGGACTCACCCCAGTGGTGTCCAGCCCACACACCGTCCTGGGCATGGGCAGGAGCCCACCCTGGTATCCTCACTGTGCCCAGTGGTGGTGCGGCTCCCACTGCAGTAAGGGAAAGGGCCTACCTTGGTGAAAGTCAGCTTCATGATGAGACGGCATTTTATGGTCAAAAGCCTCCTCCCAAAAGCAGGGAAATCAAGTGGAATCTCACAGATTTCTAGGCTTGCGGTTCTGGGAGAGTCTGGTTTCCCCCATGCGCTATGAAAATTCTGGACACGTCTGCTGTTTCTGTTACAGCAGGACCTGGTAGCCTCTAGCTATCCCAGAACCGACCCGCGAATTTAGATCATCAAACCACAACACAGTTTGCTTACTGGAACCTGAACAGATGATACATATTCAAAACTGATAAGAGTAATGGTGGCCCTGTTCTCTCAGTTCTTAAAAACTTGTCTTTTTGGGCCAGGTGCAGTGGCTCATGCCTGTAATCCCAGCACTTTAGGAGGCCGAGGTGGGTGGATCACGAGGTCAAGAGATTGAGACCATCCTGGCCAACACAGTGAAACCCTGTCTCTAGTAAAAATACAAAAAGTAGCCGGGCCTGGCGGCACGTGCCAGTAGTCCCAGCCACTCAGGAGGCTGAGGCAGAAGAATCGCTTAAACCTGTGAGGCAGAGGTTGCAGTGAGCTGAGATCGCACCACTGCACTCCAGCCTGGGCGACAGAGCAAGACTCCGTCTCAAAACAAACAAACAAACAAACACTTGTGTTTTTGGCTGGGTGCGGTGGGTGGCTCACGCCTGTAATCTCAGCATTTTGGGTAGGCCAAGGAGGGCAGACCACCTGAGGTCAGGAGTTCAAGACCAGCCTGGCAAACATGGTGAAAGCCCGTCTCTACTAAAAAAAATTAGCTGGGCGTGGTGGTGGGTGCCTGTAATCCCAGCTACTCGGGAGGCTGAGGCAGGAGAACCCCTTGAACCCAGGAGGCGGAGGCTGCAGTGAGCCGAGATCGTGCCACTGCACTCCATCCAGCCTGGGCGACAAGAGTGAAACTCCATCTCAAAAACAAAAACACACACACACAAAAATGTCTTTTTGTCTGCTCTTGTGAGAACAGATTGCAGGGTCAGGGGTGACAGGAGACTTTCACGGTAGGCTCCGCCTGAGATGTCGAGCTCCTAGGGCTAGTCTCTGAGAGACGTGCTTTCCTTTCTGTCCTCTCACAGCGACTGATATAGAAGCCTGGGGGTGCTGCTTAAGTCTCATGCAAGCCCTGCCATGATTAAAAAGCACTGTGGCCTCCCCAGGCCTTAGGGAAGGATAGTGAGGGGACGTTTTCCCTGAGAAGCATCTGGCCTGACAGCTAGTCAGAGGACACAAGGCAAGGGAGCAGGCTGGAACTGCAGTGACAGGGCCTTCCTGCTGCTCCAGAGACTTGCCGGATTGAACCAGATCAGCTCTGCTGAATGAGGTTGTGTGGGGACAATGGCATGACAAAGCTTTTAAAGGAAGCAGCCCCTGCATCGCTGAGCTCTTGCCAGTGTGGGAGGCCCTCACCCTGTGCATGTGGGCCCAGCATGGCAAGGGTGCATCGCAGCACCAGCTGCACCTGCCAGAGGCTGAGAGGGGCCTGGCGGAAGCTTACAATTACTAACTTCAGCACAACAGTTTCCATAAGAAAATGTATACCTAAGTGATTTAAGTGGAAAGTGTTGGTTGATTTTTAAGCCGCAGGCTCTTCCAAATTAATCACAACTGCATGAGGACCGTAAGGGAGAGCCTGTGAACGTGGCAGCTCAGCTTCCAGGCTGGCTCAGCGGCAGCACTTGGGACTCATTGGGACGGCTGGGGCCTGGGCCAGCTCCAACGTGGGGCCCGAGGTTCAGCCTCCAAGCACAAGGGAGCAGATGGAGCAGCTCTCTGCCTCCCTGGGCCTCTCCTCACCTCTCCTTGTGAGCAAAAAGGGGTTTAAATTAGATGCTTTCAGTAAAAAAAGTGTACCTTACTCCCTTTAGTTTGTAAAATAAAGTCAAAGGTAGAAACGCTGACATTAGGAAGAGGTCAGGCATTCAGTGCATGTTTCTGGAGGACTTTTGTGGGACTGTGTGCAAAGGTTCTTTTGTGGAAGTTAATAATGCTCCATTCTTTTAGCCAAGGTCACGGTCACTGATAACTTGAAATAGAAAGGATGGGTCTCATTGGCACACATGTACAGGTGGGGAGAGAAGATGGAAAAGCTGTGAACAGGGGTACGTTAGTTATATACAATACAACTCAAGACAGAGTGGGCTTGAGATCATTAGGCCTACGGTCAGCACATCTCAACAGCAGTCGAGTTTTATAAATGACTGTATTTGACGTGGATAAAAGATGACCAAATTGGCAAGAAAGAGTTAAGACAAACATGCTCTGATGAGGAAGAGGTATGTACCGTATATTTTCGAATGCTTTCCATGACAAATAGTTACACACACAAAAAAAGTGAATTGAAAAATATCAAGCCTTATCTGGAAAGCTCCTTAGATGTGTCACATTTAAAATCGAGGCCAAGAGAAGGACGGCACCTGGCTGAGCCCCCGTGGGACATTCTTGGACCCGTGGCTCTCCCTAGTGCACCTTAGGGACCTGCACACCCCTGAGACTTCTGGCTTAAGGAAAGTGAACGAGATGCCTGTGCTTCCATGGATATTGTCAGGAAGGTGGTGATATAGGGGTGGCTGTTGGGAGGGGACCTCGCTGAGCACACTAACTGGTTGGCAGGCACTGGCACTTCCCCTCTGGAGCCCCCGCCTTCCACAGGAAAGCTCGTCTTAAGCTAGAAATGCTGAGGCAGTGATTCAAGTGGGTGTTTGTTCAGCTGGTTGCCATATGTGGGGAGTCTGCATTTGAGAGCTCTCCTGGTGTTTATGATAGAAAGATGGCTGTAAGAATGTTGGCAATTTGATATCCAGCCCCAGTTTTACACCTGAGACCCACTGTGCTGTTGTAATAGCTGCTGGATGCTAGTCCAAAGGGAATAGAATTTTTAGCAGAGCTTTACAGAAAACCAACCTTGTATTATATTTCAGTGCAATACCAAAGAGGAATGCTATGTCTCCCACTTAAATAAATGGGAAACCTTGAATCCTGAGTTTAAATCTACCCTTGGGTGTCCACAGATACGTTAACTCATCTTGACTAATATTTTCCCAAAAATTATGTCTGGCCGATTCAGTGACTTTTAAAGAATTGAGATAAATTCATATAAATTATATGAGACATAATTCCTTTAAAGTGTATAATTCAATGGGTACTAGTATATTCACAAGGTGGTGCAACCATCACCACTTTCTAATTCCACAACATTTCATCACCCCCTAAATGTACCCTTTAGCTATTGCCCCTAGTCCCCTTAACACCCACCCTCCCAGTACAGCCATAAGCAACCACCAGGCTACTTTCTGTCTTGCTTTCATTTGTATTTTAGTAACATTTTCTGTTTTGAAAGACACTCTGGTCTATTGAGAGATGACATCAGTGAGGTTACACCGTGGCATAAAATGCTGGCAAAACTCACACTAGACTCCGCAGTAACTGGCACTGGGCCAATTGGATATTCACATGATAAAAAAAACAAACTTCAATGCTTACTGCACACCAAATACAAAAATTTACTCTAATGAATCATAGAAATGTAAGTGCTAAAACTATAAAACTTCTCTATTCAAGACATTTCATACAAATGGAATTACATATGGTCTTTTATGTACCACATTTTCTTTATCCAATGATCAACTAACAGACTTTTGGGTGGTTTTTACTTTTTGGCTATTTGATTTTTTAAAAAATTATTATTATTATTGTTATTATTTTGAGACAGAGTCTTGCTCTGTCGCCCAGGCTGGAGTGCAGTGGTGCAATCTTGGCTCACTGTAGCCTCTGCCTCCTGGATTCAAGCGATTCGCCTGCCTCAGCTTCCTGAGTAGCTGGGACTATAGGCACCTCCTGGGTTCAAGCGATTCTCCTGCCTCAGTCTCCTCAGTAGCTGGGACTACAGACGCGTGCCACCACACCTGGCTAATTTTTGTATTTTTAGTAGAGATGGGGTTTCACCATGTTGGCCAAGATGGTCTTGATCTCCTGACCTCATGATCTGCCCGCCTTGGCCTCCCAAAGTGTTGGGATTACAGGCGTGAGCCACTGTGCCTTGCCCTTTTTGGCTTTTTGAAATAATGCTCATAGCATTACTGTTTATAACATTTGTGTATAAGTTTTGCACATACATATTTTCATTTCCCTTGGTTATATATCTAGGAGCGGGATTTCTGGGTCATATAATAACTCTCCAACCATTGGGGAGTTGCCAAACTGTTTCACAGTGGCTGCACTGTTTTTATAATTCCATCAGCAGTGTACAAGAGTTCTGATTTCTCCATAGCCCCATCAACACTTTGGCCATGAGTTGGTATCTCATTGTGATTTTGATTTGCTTTTCTCTTATGTGCTTACTGGTCATTTGTATACCTTCTTTGGAGAAATGTTTATTCAGATGTTTTGCCAATTTTTATTTTTTTAAGACAGAATCTTACTCTCTCTCACAGGCTGGAGTGTGGTGGTGCATTCTTGGCTCACTGCAATCTCTACCTCCCAGGCTCAAGCAATTCTCCCACCTCAGCCTCCCAAGTAGCTGGGACTACAGGCACATGCCACCACACCTGGCTAATTTTTGTATTTTTTAATAGGGACAGGGTTTTGCCATGTTGCCCAGGCTGGTCTTGAACTCTTGGGCTCAAGGGATCTGCCTGCCTCGGCCTTCATAGTGCTGGGATTACAGGTGTGAGCCACTACGCCTGGCCCCTTTGCCTATTTTTAAATTGGGTTATCTTTTAGTTATTGAATTGTAATAGCTCTTTATATATTCTAGAACAAGTCACTTACCCAATATATGATCAAAAATATTCTCTCGGTCTGTGAGTTGTCTTTTTACTTCTTTAATGTACTTGAAGTACAAAGTTTTTCATTTTGATGAAATCCAATTTAAGTTTTTTCTTTTTGCTTTCTGCTTGTGCTTTTGGTGTCATAGCTAAGAAACCATGACCTAATTCACAGTCACAGAGATTTACATTTATGTTTAATTCTAAGAGTTTTACAGTTTTAGCTCTTAAAGTTAGGTCTTTGATCCATTTTGAGTTAATTTTTATATATGGTGTGAGGTAGGGGTCCAGCTCCATTCTTTTGTCTGTGAATATCCAGTTGTCTGAGAACCAATTGTTGAAAAGACTCCTGCTTTCCCCATTCAATCATCTTGGTTTCATTTGTATTTTAGTAACATTTTCTGTTTTGAAAGATACTCTGGTTTATAGAGAGATAACATCTGTGAGGTCACACCGTGGCATAAGATGCTGGCAAAATTTACCCTAGACTCCTCAGTAACTGGCACTGGGCCAATTGGATATCCACATGTAAAAAAAAAAAAATGAATTTCAATGCTTACTGTACACCATATACGAAAATTTACTCTAATGAATCATACATAGAAATGTAAGGGGCTGGGCGCAGTGGTTCACACCTGTAATTACGGCACTTTGGGCGGCCAAGGCAGGTGGATCACTTGAGGCCAGGAGTTCGAGACCAGCCTTGCCAACATGGTCTCATGGTGTAACCCCTTCTCTACTAAAAATATAAAAATTAGCCAGGTGTGGTGGTGTGTGCCTATAATTCCAGCTACTTGAGGGGCTGAGGCACGAGAATTGCTTGAACCTGGGAGGTGGAGGTTGCAGTGAGCCAGGATTGCACCAGTGTACTCCAGCCTGGGCAACTGAGATTCTGTTGTCTCAAAAAAAGGACACATAAGGGCTAAAACTGTAAAACTTCTGAGAGAAAACATAGGAGTAAATCTGTGTAATTCTGGGTTAGCCAAAGATTTCTTAAATAAAAATGCAGGCCGGGTGTGGTGGCTCATGCTTGTAATCCCAGCACCTTGGTAGGCTGAGGTGGGTGGATCACCTGAGGTCAGGAGTTTGAGACCAGCCTGGCCAACATAGTAAAACCCGTCTCTACTAATAATACAAAAATTAGCTGGGCATAGTGTCACATGCCTTTAATCCCAGCTACTCCAAAAGCTGAGGCAGGAGAATTGCTTGAACCTGGGAGGCAGAGGTTGCAGCGAGCTGAGATCACGCTCTTGTACTCCAGCCTAGGCAACAAGAGCAAAACTCCATCTCAAAAAATAAATAAAACTAACTAAATAAAAAAGCAGTGACCATAAGAGAAAAATAAATTAGCTAATTGACAGACTGGCTTCATCATAATTAGAAACTGCTACTCTTAAAAGCCATTGTAAAGAAGAAGAAAAAGAAAAAGGCCAACCTCAGACTGAGTGAAAATATTGGCAAAAACTTGTATCCAGAATATATGAAGGACACAACTCAGTAAAAAGAAGATAAATAACCCAATTTTAAACAATGGGCAAAGGATTTAAACCAAACTAGTGACGTATCTTTTGCACATCTCTTATTTGGTTAAATGTGCAAAAGATACATCATTAGTCATTAGGGAATTGCAAATTAAAACCACACGGTGATGCCACAACATACCCATCAGAATGGCTAAAATAAAAAAGAGAACAATACTAAGTTCTGGTGAAGATGTGGAACAACTGGAACTAACATACACTGCTGCTAGGAATTGGATAAGTTTGGCAGCTTCTTACCACATTGAACACACTTACTACGTGATCCAGCAATCCCTCTCCTACATATTTACCCAAGAGAAAGGAAAACATGTCCATACAAAAAAACTGCATGCAAACGATCATTAGTAAGAGCGCCAAAACTGGGAGCAGCAAGTGATTCTTTAAGAATGCACATCAGCCCCATTACCACCTGCTGGTGGTGGGGAGAAGGGCAAGGATGAAGTTCGGAGCAGGGCAGGGCCAGAACACACAGACTGGTCCCCAGAACCCCACCTGATGTCATTTGGAAAGGATCACACTGATTGCTGCATGGAGAGTGGACTGGGGAGGTGGGCAAGATGTGGGAGAAAGCAGGGGGACCATGGCTGAGTGACACTGGAGTGACGTGGATGTGCTCTGGGGGTGTGGCATCAGGGCTTGCTGGATGTGGGGTGTGGAGAGTTTCTGACCTCCAGGGCAGGGGTGCAGATGAGGTACTTTTTGTGAGGTAAGGCAGGAGAGGTGTGTCGGGGGTGATCAGAGCTGAGTGTAGGCAGGAAGGTGGGGAAGTGCACAGGGATCGCTGAGGAGGGAGTGGGCAACAGCTCCTGCAGCATCTGGTGAAAGTAGCAGAGACATGTCTGTTGGACTTGGCACTGTGGGTGTCTTGGTGAGTGTACCACCACACCCCTGCTCTCCACGCACAAGACTTCTGAGAGAAGTATGATAAACTTCAGAAAGGTTTAGAAATGCCTACAGCAGGAGCACTGGGAAGAACAATGATCTGCCCTCATTTCAGAAAGAAAACTGACAAATACAAAGGCACCTCTGTGCCAGACACTGGTCTAGGTTCTTCACACATTACCATGCGTATGATCTTATGTGTGTTAGACAATCAAACCATTACCGAGTGAACAGGTACTGCCGGGGCCCTGGGGCCTGCACAACTGCCCTGCCTGGGACAAGGGGCCTTTGTCCCACCTCAGCCCACTTAGCTGTTGATTGGCTATATGACTTTGAGAAATCCCTTTTAAACTCTCTGAGCCTCAGTCGTGTTTTTACAGTTTAATTTGAGGCTGGGTGTGGTGGCTTATGCCTGTAATCCCAGCACTTTGGGAGGCCAAGGCGAGCGGATCACGAGGTCAAGAGATCGAGACCACCCTATCCAACATGGTGAAACCCCTTCTCTACTAAAAATACAAAAATTAGCTGGGCGTGGTGGCGCCCATCTGTAATCCCAGCTACTCGGGAGGTTGAGGCAGGAGAATCACTTGAACCAGGGAGTCAGAGGTTGCAGTGAGCCGAAATTGCGCCAAAAAAAAAAAAAGTTTAATTTGAATGTAATTTTGAATTTACAGAAACAGTATACGAGGAGAATGAGAAGCTGCCGCCTGTTCACACCGCCTGTCACCTCCCTCTGTGTTGCGCCATGCTGAGACATGGTACCCCTCGCCCCTGGACACACACAGGGTTTTTCCCCAATTGAGCAGATCTCCTATGTGACCAAAACATACTTCTCCAAACCAGAACGTGCCCCTTCAGATGTCCCCAGCTGTCCCAACTGCGTCTCTCCTTCCTTGTCCCCTCAGGCCCCAGCATGGCTGGTCTTGACAGCCTGGGTGCAGCTGCTGGCACCACAGATTGCTGAATCTGGGCCTAACGCTGCATATCCATGCTGAGTTGATGCCAGGTTTGGAGCCCCATGGAAATGCTGCCTGTGTGCCTCAGACGCGGCCCCACCACTGTGCTCCATGGGATGTCCTGAGACCACTGTCCACTCCTGAGTCTGAGACCCTATGATGGCTCATGGCAACACCAACGACAGTGAGGGTCCCAAAAGGTGGCTTTCCGTTTCCATCATTCCTCCCGCATCTGTTGGCTTTCTACCAGCAGAAAGAGCTTCTCCTTTTCCCTTATTCATTTGTATCAGTATCCACTCAGTCACTTGTTTATTCCATAGGCTGTAACCTGTTTAAGATCACTATTGGTCGTGATGCTCAAGCCCCCAGGTCTGGCCAGTATGAGCTCCTGTAAACTGCTCCTGGTTCTTCTGACACAGCCCCACCATTCTTTGAGGTCTTCCTACTCTCTGGCATCATCAGCTGTTCTAGGCTCATTTTGTACTTCCCTGCCCAGCTCTAGAATCAAAGGAGCTGACAGTATTTACAAACCAGGACCTGGGCTCGTTGCTCCTGGAGCTTCATTACTTCTAGGGCCTGTCAGTGGAAAGAGCTAGGAAGGACACACTGGTGTGTGCAGGTGCATGAGCCACTTGCAGCCACTTCCACCCCTGTCTGTGCACACCCATATTCAAAACACGCAGGCACGAGCTCTCCCAGACACCTCAGTCTAGCTCTTTTGACATCTGTCAGTCGCTTTGCTGTTGGGGAGAGACTGTGTCCCTTCACCCTCAGTGTATCCCCTTGTTTGATCAGCCGATTTACAGTCTCCCAAGAGTGCCTGCTGTCCCCTCCCAGCCCACTCCTCTGTGGGCACATGGAGCGTGACATGGAGCTGACACAACGCAGTCATTTATCTGACACTGAGACTTTCCCGGGCCTAATACCAGGCCAGGCACCTCTGTCCTTTTGGTCACAGCGTGGCGTTTAAATGAGGGCTGGTACCCCCACGGGGGAGGCGAGATGGGGTTTTCAGATTCTCAAGAGCTCTAACATGGAAAGGACTGGATATTCGAGCACTTTGTATCATCACAATCATTTGAAGTAACAACTAACCGCCGGCAGCACCAGAAGCTCCCTTTGGAAATTTCCTGATTGGCACACCTAGCAGAAGAGAGTCCCTCACTGACACAGCGTCCGACTGAAATGTTAACAGAAATCCCCAGGCTACAAGGCTGGACAAAAGGTGCCTGACTTTTAAATCTTTTGATTACATACAGGATGGAAAGACTGTATCTCCAAGTCTAATTGTGTGGATTTTTAACCAGTTTTTCTAGACTCTATTTGTGTTTTTGAAGTAAATACGTCCATGTAGTGATACAAGCAGAAAGGAATGCAGTGGCTATGCTGCTGAATTGCCTCCTGTAAACCATATTAGCCTAACTTTCCTGGACGTGGTCCTGAGGCTCGGACACGCAAACACAGACCTAGCGACACACACGTCTGCCCCTAAGAGTCGTCTGGTTGGTAAAAAACAAGGGAGCACAGCAACTTGCTGGCTCAGGAGGCATCAGACCCACTTGTCTGACCCTGTGTGGGGACGGAAGTCAGAGATCAGTCGCCCTCAGTGGATGAACATGGGTGTCCAGGAAGGACCCCTCAGGGGACCTGCACCATCCACAAGACCATCCACAAAAATAACTGGGAACAGCTGAGGAGCTCTGTTAGAAGGATTGCTTGTCCACAGGGAGTTAAAAAATGTGTCCTAAATGTTGCTTAGTAAAACAAACAACCAGAAAAGCCTCTCTATTCCAAACCCATGGTGGGGCATAAACCTGGGAGAGCTGGAATGTCATTGCAGCACTTTGCCACAGGAGCAAAAACACAACCCCCACCAGAAGGGATGGCCGACCAGGGCATGACTTGCGCTGTCTTTCTGGTAGTGACTGATGCCCCAGAACCCTCGCAAGGGCTTGTGCCAAACATTCTCCATGTGCCCCAGCCCCAGTGGGGTGGCCCAGCCCTCAGCACTTACCTCATCTCCAGACCTTTGCAGAACAGACCAGCTGGGAGCCTCCATCCTCCCTTGACCCAACTTTTCTTGTTTGTACAGACTTGGGAAGAACCAGGGAAACCCAGAGTTGAAAGAGACCCACTCTACTGGAAATATATCCCAATGGCATTTTTAAAACGAAGAGCTGGGGAATTTTAATAAACAAACAGCAAATGCAAGCATGAATAATGGGCCTGTATGGACAGGAAGAGAGCCAGGGCAGGAGACAGCAAATGACAGGCCAGAAGCCAGATCCCACGCCCTTCTGTTCTTGTATGGAACCTCAAGCTAAACATGGTTGAAAAGAACTCCAAAGATTTCGTGACATGTGAAAATTACATTAAATGCAAACTTCAGACTTCAGTGTCTGTAATAAAGTTTGATTGGCACACAGCCACCCTCACTTAGGTATATACAGTCTGTGGCTGCTTTTGTGCTGAACTTAGTGACTGAGCAGACTACATGGCTGCAAAGCTTAAAACAGTTACTCCTTGGCCCTTTGCAGAAGACACGGACCAGGAAAGACCAGGGGAGGTGGGTCCCACTGGTCCCCCAGGGAAGCCTGTGGAGCTCCAGGCAGTTTGGATGTTCATGAGACACAGATAAACCAAAAGAGAGGCTGGAGGAGGCCACAGCCTAGGGGGAAAGTAATCTGACCATGTCTCGTAAATGGAGAAACATCTAGTGGGAGCTACACCATACTTTTAATAGTGCTTTCTCTTGGGAAGTGACTCTGAGAAACAGGAGGAAAGCAGATTAAAAAAACAACCACTGGGCCAGGCGCAGTGGCTCACGCCTGTAATCCCAGCACTCTGGGAGGCCGAGGCAGGTGGACCACGTCAGGTCAGGAGTTCAAGACCAGCCTGGCCAACATGGTGAAACCCCGTCTGTACTAAAAATACAAAAATTAGCCAGGCGTGGTGGTGGGAGCCTGTAGTCCCAGCTATTCAGGAGGTTGAGGTAGGAGAATCACTTGACCCTGGAAGGCAGAGGTTGCAGTGAGCCGAGATCGCACCACTGCATTCCAGCCTGGGTGACAGAGGGATACTCTGTCTCAAACAAAAACAAAAACAAAAACAAACAAAACAAAACAAAAACTACTGACCACACAATCCCTCCCGTATGGCACAGTGATAGTCTAGCCAGGGGCTGGTGTCGGACGGGGAGGTCTGTCCTGTGTGACCTTAGCCCCTAAGCCTAAGATGGACTTTTTTCTTTTTCTTTTCACCCTTTTTGTTTCCTGGGCTCCTTTCAGGGCCTGGTTTGGGCCATTTCTGTGCTTCTGAATAGTAAAATGGTTTTCAAACCCCTAGGGATGAAATTCCAACAGAAATCCCTTTATTCTCAACCATATTTCCACTTCCTTTTTTTTTTTGACACAGAGTCTTACTCTGGGTGTGGAATTCACTCCATCCCAGGCTGGAGTGCAGTGGTGCGATCTCAGTTCACTGCAACCTCCGCCTCTGGGGTTCCAGTGATTCTCCTGCCTCAGCCTCCCTAGTAGCTGGGATTACAGGTGCATACCACAATGCCTGGCTAATTTTTAGTAGAGATGGGGTTTCACTATTTTGGCCAGGCTGATCTCGAACTCCTGAGCTCAAGTGATGCACCTGCCTCGGCCTGCCAAAGTGCTGGGATTACAGGTGTGAGCCACTGCGCCTGGCCTCCTTGTAGTTTTTGCCATGTTTCATCATAGTTCATTTTAATTCTGTTAAGCTGGAAAAATTCCTCAAAAAAAAAAAAAACCCCTTCAGTTATTTGTTTTATAACTGAATATTTAAATTTCATTTATCTGTAATCTTTGTAATCTTTGCTTCTCATACAAATTTCTGTCTCAGGAGACAGGAAACAGTGTGTTCCGAGCTGGCCATGTGGACAGGCCAGTGAGATGCCCTGCCTCCTGACCTTGTTCCAACTGGACCCTTGTGCACACAGTGCAGGGTGAGACCCAGTGCTGCCTCTGCCCATGTGATGTCACATCACAACCCCAGAGAAAATGAAGACAAGTTATTTCCCCATGTAATTTCTCCCTCCTGACACATCCTCTAGTAGATTCCCACTACTCCCGATACTCTGTGGAGGGTTTTCTCACTGGAAATCACTGTCCCTTTGCTAGGGTGATTATAGAAAGCTCAGAGGAGCAAGGACTACTGTGCTGGGGTTGTGGGGATGAGGCCAACTCGCCCTCACATGCCCACCTTCTCCCCTCCTTCACTCCTTCTCAGAGGGACCCATGGCAGTGGGGGGTGAGAGCTGGCCCCTGCCCTTGGCCAGCCCAGACAGAGAGGAGCCCTGTGACTCACAAAACCCACACCCCCAAAGAACACCTCAAACCAGTTTGAAAACAAACCTTAGCACTTTTTGGGAAATCAGAATTGGTGCTGGGAGAGATCATGATGTGAACGTTTGGCCACAAACACTTTGTCTAGAAAATGGAACTAAAAGAAGGAACAAACGGATATGGGAATCCTAAAAATGAATAAAAGTTACAAATATGATTTTTCTATACTTTCCCACTTTAGAATGGAAAGGGGAAAATTACTCAAGCAAAGTCAGTAATTTATACACCTTAGAAACATGCACCCTGCAATCACTCTAAAGGCAAATGTACCCATAAAAAACTGACTTCCCATTAAGATTACTAGAGAAAACAGAGAATGCTTCAGATTGGAATGTAAGTCCTAGCAGTAGTTCTTTTTTAAGATTATCACTGAAAGTTAATCATGTAGTAATTTTAAGCTTTGAAAAGGAATTCACTTCCCTCCTAGACCACTAATGTGAAAATGTGAGCCAAGTTGGTTTATTTTAAAATAGTCAGAAATGATAATGAAGAAGCTAAATATACACACACATATCAATGTAACAGTAAATACTAGAAACTCTTTAGAGATAATTCCACAATTTTCTCTTTATGTAATTATTCATATGTAATTATAACAGATAATGAAAGTAATATTCCAGATATACACAGAAAATTTTATCATTAAGGTTTAAACTCTCATTATTTCATAAATCTCAAAGTAATGCTGTCTAAAAACATTGAAACTAATTATAATTTAAAGTTATGATCCCATTTAAACTTTTTCACAGAATAAGGGAGATTCTGAGATTGGCAGGCGTTCTTGAGGTCTTCAGGTTCTTTTTCACAAGACAAATCACTCCCACTCCTGTCCCCACCCCGTTTGGAGCCCTTCATTCTTGCAGGCCCTGTGCAGTCGACTTGCACTATAGCTCATTCAATCCTCACAGTGGTCATATGAAATCTGCGGTATATTGCTCATTTTAATGAAACTAAGGCTCAGAATAATTAACATAACTTGCTTAAGATTACACAACTAGTAAATTGATTAAAACCTAAGGGAAACAGATTCCAAAACCTAAGCTTATAAACATTCTACTAGATAACATCTCTAAGCTCAAATATAGTTGCAGTATACAGGTCAAGTTTTATCACAATCAATTTGTAGCAGCATAATTCAGTGCTGGCAACTGACTTTGATGGTAGCAGAAAAAACATTTTTGTTGGGAAACATAATTGCCCCTAAAAATTTGCTCACTTTTTCCCAATCTAGTGCTAGACATGAATATAGCCAAGTCTCAACCTTGAAGAGCCCTGATCTAGTAAAGGAAACTTCCTATGCCTCATTTTTTATTAAAAATACTTAGAGGAAGTATTATAGAGGAAGGTTATAAAAAAAAAGCCACAGTGGGGCCCAGAGTCCAGAACCTCTCTGGCTCTTATCATCGTTTTTTTTATTAATAGATGGCTGCTGTCATGGCGGGGACAGAAGTCGGGGTGTAGGAGAGCCTTTCTGCCTCCCGTATGGACTTCCGACTAACTCTTCTCCATCCTGTCCCTACTTTCCAATGTACTTGATGCCTCCCATTTCTGAGCAAATTGGAATTCTATAAAACACATCAGCCTTCCTCAAGGCTTTCTCTCGTTTTAATCAAATACCACACTTTCTAGCTTCCAATATTGTATTGCTGCCTTCTTCCCACCTATTTTTCTATTCTTTCTTTTTTTTTTTTTTTTTTTTTTTTT
The DNA here is from genome assembly GCF_000001405.40 of Homo sapiens. Classification (NCBI taxonomy): domain Eukaryota; kingdom Metazoa; phylum Chordata; class Mammalia; order Primates; family Hominidae; genus Homo; species Homo sapiens. The sequence continues at coordinate 431,172 of NW_025791788.1, read as the reverse complement.
GACACAGGGTCTTACTATGTTGCCTAGGCTGGCCTTGAACTCCAGGGCTTGGCTTGGCCCTACCTATTTATCTGTGCATTTATGTCTTTTAAAAACTAACCGGTCTGGGCAACATAGTGAGACCCCATTTCTACAAAAATTTTTAAAAATTAGACATGGTGGTGTGTGCCTGTAGCCCTAGCTACTTGGAAGACTTAGGCAAGAGGATCACTTGAACCGAGGAATTCTGGGCTACAGTGAGCTAGAATCACACCACTGCATTCCAGCCTGGGCAACAGAGCAAGACTCTGTCTCAAAACAAACAACCAAACAAACAAAACACCTTTTTTACTGCCATTTTAGAAAGGTTTTGGCAGGGTGCCTGATAAATGCTGTATGTTTCAATCTGCCATTTTTTGAGGACTTTCATGTTTAACAATGTGTTTATTTTTCCCTCATACTTGATGAATAGTTTGGGTATAGAATTTAAAGTTTAAATAATATTTATACTATATTTTATAAATAAAGCCAATGATGTATGTTCAAACTTGTACTTCACAGTCTTACGTTAAATGCTTTCAGTTTTTTAAAAATGGAAGGAAATAGGCTGGGTGCGGTGGCTCATGCCTTCAATCCCAGCCCTTTGGGAGGCCGAGGTGGGCAGATTGCCTGAGGTCAGGAGTTTGAGACCAGCCTGGCCAACATGGTGAAACCCTGTCTCTACTAAAAATAAATTACCCAGGCATGGTGGTGCACGCCTGTCATCCCAGCTACTTGGGAGGCTGAGGCAGGAGAATCGCTTGAACCCAGGAGACGGAGGTTGCAGTGAGCCGAGATGGTGCCACTGCACTCCAGCCTGGGCGACAGAGCGAGACTCCATGAAAAAAAAAACAAAAAACAAAACAAAAACAAAAAACAAAAAACTGAGCAGACTTGGGAGTTCATGCCTGTCATCTCAGCACCTTGGGAGTGTAAGGCCGGATGATTGCTTGAGGTCAGGAGTTCAGGACCAGCTTGGGCAACAAGGTAAGATCCCCATCTCCACAAAAAATAAAAAATTAGCTGCGTGTGGTGTTGCATGCTTGTGGTCCCAGCTACATGGGAGGCTGAGGTGGGAGGATCAGTTGATCCCAGGTGGTTGAGACTGCAGTGAGCCATGTTTGTGCCAATGCACTCTAGCCTGGATGAGAGAGTGAGATCTTATCTCCAAAAAATCAATAAACAAATAAACCATGAAGTCAACACATGTTCTTAGAAAAACAGCAACATGGCTGGGCATGGTGGCTTATGCCTGTAATCCCAGCACTTTGGGAGGCCAAGGTGGGTGGATCACCTGAGGTCAGGAGTTCAAGACCAGCCTGGCCAACATAGTGAAACCCTGTCTCTACTAAAAATACAAAAAATTAGCTGCGCTTGGTGGCTTGCGCCTATAATCCCAGCTACTCGGGAGGCTGAGGCAGGAGAATTGCTTGAACCTGGGAGGCGGAGGTTGCAGTGAGCCAAGATCACGTCACTGCACTCCAGCCTGGGCAACAAGAGCTAAACTCCATCTCAAAAAAAAAAAAAAAAAAAAAGAAGAGCAACCTCTCACATCCAGGACATAGAAAAATAGGGCACAAATAACTTACATAAATGAAAACTTTTTTTAATTTTTAAAAGTTTTTAAAAAATGTTTGTAGAGATGGGGTCTTGCTATGTTGTCCAGGATGGTCTCAAACTCCTGGCCTCAAGTGATCCCTCCACCCCAGCCTCCCAAAGTGCTGGGATTACAGGTGTGAGCTACCATGCCTGGCCACAAATGAAATTTTAAGTTGAAATTTTGTATTACATCAAGAGCTGATGGTTAAGGAAAAATGAAATAAAATGAATACTAGGCAGAGATTTAAAACTTGAGGGGCGATGAAAAGTCTCAGCAAAGTAGTCCAAAGGACAATGATAATTTATTCCATTTGCATAGTAGTTCTAGTGTTGAAAGATCTTTTAACACCTCATAACACCTTTATGAGGCAGAGATATAAAATTATGCCCATCTTTTAAAATAAGAAAAACAAGGCTCAGACACGCCGTGCTGTACCAGTGGCCCAGAGCCAGAAGTGGAAGCAGCAGCTGGGCCACCTGCTCACGGGGCCACCTACTCAAGGTGCCTTTCTCAAGAAAATTTTAGGTTCCCCGTGATCCCACTGATAAGAATGGAGGGAGACCAGAGGTGGGCTGACCCTAAAACTAATAAAGCTGAAGCTCCAGGAGCCTCCCTGCACAGGCTCCTCCAAGACCCTCACCTGGTTTTTTCTTAAACTACTTTTTAAAACAGTTTACATTGACAGGAAAATTGCAAAGACAATACAGAGTCCTTACATATCCCACACCCAGTTTCCCCTGTTATTCCTCTGTTATTAGCATCTTCCATTAGTGTGGGATGTTTGTTATAATTAATGAACCAAGATTGCTGCATCACTACTATAACTAAAGTCCAAATTTCATTCAGATTTCCTCAGTTTTGCCTTAATGTCCTTCTGTTCCAGGATTCCCATCCAGGATATCATATTACCTTTGAGATTCGTGAGAAAGGTAGCAAAGTGTACCTATATTCTTGGCTTCTCTACCGGGTTCCCTTTATCTACTGCTACCAGTTTAACTATTATGCTTGGTTATTTTAATAAGTGGCTCCCATTTTTTACCGAAAGAATTTAAAGAAAAAAACTTATAGTTTTTATTTGGGTCCCAAAATAACACTCGCCTTGTAGTCTGGCCACAGACCACATAAACCAGCTCTGCCAAACTCTAATCACTGTTCGCTTTCATTGTTGGCCCAGGCAGGAGGAAGGAACCAGCTTATTATGGGCTTGACTTAAAACTCAAAACAGATAACAGAAGAGTAGCAAACACCACTCTTTCATTTATTCATTTCTGTACAGATCATCCATGAATTGGCTAAACATCTTATAGCTATTCATATTTCAACATAGAATAGCTCTTGAATTAGGGGAAATGAGGGCAGAAGGAAAGAAAATCCTTTGCTGTCCTAAAACGGCTTTGCTTTCCTAGAGTAATTTCAGTAAAAATATTTCTGGTTCACCCTGTCTGTGGCCTGCACAACATAAGCTTGGGCTGACTCATTCATTCATTCAAAATGATATTATGGAGTATCTCCTGTGTGTGATGCCACGGTGGTCTGTCAGAAGTCTGTTTTTCTTTGTCCAGTGAGCCTTCTCATCTCCCTTCTTCTGGTGACAAATCCTTCTCACCTTTGCCCAGGAGCTGGCTCACCTCATCACAGCACTCTCAGCATCTTACACACAGTGTGGCTCCCCGGGGGCAGCTCTCCTGCCACCTGGGATTGAGAAGTGGATGCTTAGGGCAGATGATGCCAGGGCTGCTGGGAGGCTCACACAGTGGGAGAGAAGCCTCCAGCCCTGGGGCCAGCAGCTCTGGTTGTCTGAGCTACTCCAGTCTCTCTGCTAGCTACAGGAGCCACTAATGTTCCTTTTCGTTTAAGCCAACTTAGGTTGGGTTTCTGTCCCATCCTCTCTCACTTGTATAGAAAGAGCCTTAATAAAAAGCACAGATATGATGTTAAATGCTGGGTATATACTGATGAACAAAATCAGCACTGTGCATCATCAGGGGAATACAAACTAATACCACAATGGTATACCATGACACACACACCCAACTGGCTAAAAATGACTAACAAAACCAGTGTTGAAACAGGTGAGCAAATGGAACCCTCATACACTGCTGGTGAGAGTGTGAACTGGTACAGCTGCTTTGGAAAACTGTTTGGAAACAGGTACCAAAGCTGAGCATATGTATATGACATGATTCAGCAATTCCACCCAACAGAAATCTGCACACGTGTTCCCAATGCTCATGGTGCTACTGTTCATAGAGCCAGAACTGAGGAATACCCAGGAACAGTATGATGGATAAAGACTTTGTTGTATATCCACACAATGGAATACTATACAGCAATGAGATGAATGATCGAAAATTACAGTGTGATCAAAAATTGTAATGTGGATGAACTTCATAAAAAACAACAGGGAGCAAAAGAAGGCCAGCACAGAATACTAGGCATGGCCCGATTTCATACACATCAGGTTCTAGAGCAGGCTAGTGGATCCCTGCTGTCAGGAGCCAGCAGTGCTCGCCCTGGGCTGGAGAATGAATGGAAAGGAGTGAAGGGGCTTCATGCTCTGGGGCTGCTCATGCTGTTTCCTGATCGGAGTGGTGGTCATACAAGTTCATTTTGTGAAAAACTATCAAACTGTATATTTATCATGTATAAATATATCCATGATAAATGTATAAGTGTATACATTTATATAATGTATATATTTATACATGTATAAGTGTATACATTTATACATGTATATGTGTCTATATATGCTCTTTTCTGTATGTCTATTTTTTTTTATACTTTAAGTTTTAGGGTACATGTGCACAATGTGCAGGTTAGTTACATATGTATACATGTGCCATGTTGGTGTGCTGCACCCATGTATGTCTATATTTCAACAAAAAGTTAAAAAATAAGACAGTATTCCTGACCTCATGAAGCATAAAATTTGGTGGAAAAGACAGATAATAAATAACGAAATAAATTAAATTTATAATTTAAAAATTGTGATGAGTGCCAAGATGCCTCCTCTCTGCTGTTACCCTTCCACTTTGGAAAATGCTTTTTCTTTTTTTAATCTGGAAGCTCTGTAGCCATCTTGGTGACTTTACTTCCTCTCTTTGGATCTTTTCTAGCTCTGTCACATTTATCTTATCCTAGAGAACAGTGACCATAAATGAAACATCGCAGACAGATTCTCCAGGATTTGTTACAAAGAACATATCATCTATTTTATTTCCCGTGATTTTCCTGGATTAAGATGGGCAATCTGCAAGCCTTTGTTAATACTGTGGTATCTGGAATGCCGTTTTGGGAAGTCAGTATGTCTTTTCTTGAGTTAGGATTGACACACAAGGGCATATCTTCCAACAAGTATGGTTTGGATTTTTTTTTCCCTGCAGGTCTTATTTATTTATTTATTTATTTTGAGACAGAGTCTTGCTCAGTCGCCCAGGCTGGAGTGCAGTGGCGCAATCTCGGCTCACTGCAAGTTCCGCCTCCCGGGTTCATGCCATTCTCCTGCCTCAGCCTCCCGAGTAGCTGGGACTACAGGCGGCCGCCATCACACTGGCTAATTTTTTTGTATTTTTAGTAGAGGCGGGGTTTCACCGTTTTAGCCAGGATGGTCTTGATCTCCTGACCTCGTGATCCACCCGCCTCAGCCTCCCAAAGTGCTGGGATTACAGGCGTGAGCCACCGCACCCGGCCCCCTGCAGGTCTTATTTTATGCACAATTTTTTATTACTTTTTGGTGTGCTCTGAATAATGTTTTCAGTGCATTCCCATTCTCTTGGTATTTCAATGAGTGGAAATGTTTAAACTTATCTGAAAGTATAAAGACTTTAATGTTGACTCCCTTTTGGCTCATTTATTCAAAACTTCAATTGTTTAATACTTCTCTATCCTGAAACTATGGTCCACATTATTTTGTTCCACTAGAATTAGCTGCATCACGTTTGAATAAACGGGTCAAAAGCTGCAGATTAGAAATCTTTGATACATGCAGATATTAGTTATATACATTTGTTTTGACGTTTGTGAGCTTTCTATTTATCTTTCAAAATCTCCTTCTATTAAGAATTCAGCTAACTTGCACATTTAAATGACAGTTGAAGAAACATACTAATTTCCAGAAGCCAAAGCTGACCAAACACATGGAAAGGGATTGTACAGTTCTTGGATTTATTTGGAAACAGAGAGATGTTGTGTTTAAGGGCTGGACAGGGATAAGGGCCCCTGAGACCAGGAAGCTTGCATAACAACTGTCTAACTTTGATTATGCAGCCCTGGCCCGCAGGAGGAAATGGAAACAGGGAGTGTGGGCCAAGACAGTCAAGCTGTCAGCTTCTTTCTTAAAGACAAAATAGCCAAAGGACAGATTCCAATTTCCTAAAAGTCATACTTCGGCCTCAGACAAATACGAATTCTACACTGTTTTAAAAATCAAACATCTTTAAGCATAGCATTTATTCACACATTTGTAATAGAAAGAGGATTCTTTATTTACAAGTGCCATAAGTGCTGAATGCTAACCAGATGTGTTTTATAGTGTCTTATAAAGCAAGAGAATGCATTGAGAAGAAACTAAAGTTAAAGTTTGAAAAAAACCTTAGAACAAGTAGTTAACAATTTGTTGTGTTAATATAATTAAAGCCTCTGAAAACTCTTTGTTGAACTGTACCTCACCACTGACACACCATTAGAGAACTTGCTCAACCAGTGCCTGCCAGTGCCCTCCAGGAGCATTTGCAAAGCTCTTTGGGTCTTTTCTGTTCCACATCCTTTGTATGTGAATGTGACTGATGTTGTTATAAAGTGGGGCGAAGAAACAATGAAACCTCTTTTTGGGAGGTAGGTGTGGGGGAGCAGGGATGATACTGTGTAGTTTGAGCTTTTCAGATGAATACAATATTTTAAACATAATAAAAACATCATAATTAAAGGGTGAATAAAAACTGATAGAGTCAGGAAATATGAACATATGATTATCTTCAATTTAAATTACAACTAGACTTTGTAAGATAAAGTAGTTTAAAAAGGCATTCAACAACAATTTGAACTATCATTAAAAGCTCAAAATAAAAGAGCTCTAAATAAAAAATAGGTCTGTATAATGCTTAGTTGAAATCTTTCGTAAACGCATAAGAGAATCACTTCACACCCATTAAAATAGCTGTAATCAACAAAACAGACAATATCAAGTGCAGGTAAAAATGTAAAGAAGGTGGAACTTCACATACTGTTGGTACAGCCAACATGTATGAGAATGTCCATGTAATTTCAAGAATGTGGGAATGCTGTTCTGGGAAGTCAGTATGTCTTTTCTTGGGTTAGGGTTGACAGACAAGGGCATATCTTCCAATAAGCATGGTTTGGATTTTTTTTTTTCCCTGCAGGTCTTATCTTACACAAATTTTTTGGTGCATTATAAAATGGTACAGTCATTTTATAAAACCATTTGGTAGTTTCCTTTTTCTCTTAAAAAAAAATTTTTTTTTTTTTGAGACAGGGTCTTGCTGTCTCCCAGGCTGGAGTGCAGTGGCACAATCTCGGCTCACTGCAACCTCCGCCTCTGGGGTTCAAGCAATTCTCTCACCTCAGCTTCCCTAGTGACGGTGCACTGGGACTACAGGTGTGCATTACCACGCCCAGCTAATTTTTTTTTTTTTGGTGTATTTTTGGTAGAGACAGGGTTTCACCATATTGCTCAGGCTGGTCTTGAACTCGTGGGCTCAGGTGATCTGCCCGCCTCATCCTCCCAAACTGTTGGGATTACAAGTGTGGGCCATTGTGCCTGGTGCCTTTCAATTTTTTAATGTCCTTTATAAATTCTGAAATGATACATTTGCATATTAAGCAGAGCTATATTTGTCCCCTTAAATTTCGTAGTAATGCAGGTATTTTATTTATTCATAACCCCACATACATTCACCTCTCATGGGCGTCTCAGACTAGGGATTTACTAACTCTTGCAAGAAGAATGCCTTTATCTCTCATCTTCCTACAACCCTAACTCTGGGGCCCAATATTGGAGCTTCTTCCAGGAAAGCACCCAGCCAAGGTTCCACCTTCTTTACATTCTCACCTGCACTTGATATTGTCTGCGTTTTGTTGATTACAGCTATTTTAATGGGTGTGAAGTGATTCTCTTATGGGTTTATGGAAGATTTCAACTAAGCATTATACAGATCTATTCTCTCTTCAAAACACTTTTCCCTGAGCCCATATCCTGGGGGTTAGGTGATGGGAAGGGAGATGTTACAACAGAGAAAAACCTTTTAAAACTCACAGCTGGCCGGGCACAGTGGCTCACGCCTGTAATCCCAGCACTTTGGGAGGCTGAGGTGGGCGGATCACGAGGTCAGGAGATCTAGACCATCCTGGCTAACAAGGTGAAACCATGTCTCTACTAAAAAAAAAAATACAAAAAATTAGCCGGGTGTGGTGCCGGGCGTCTGTAGTCCCAGCTACTCGGGAGACTGAGGCAGGAGAATGGTGTGAACCTGGAGACAGAGCTTGCAGTGAGCCGAGATCGCGCCACTGCACTCCAGCCTGGGCGACAGAGCGAGACTCTGTCTCAAAAAAACCAAAACAAACAAACAAACAAACAAAAAACTCACAGCTGTTCTTTCTCTCTTTAAATTTTTATTTTTATACTTTTGTGAAATTCACATGACATAAAAGTAACTATTTTATTTTATTTTTTGAGACAGAGTCTTGCTATGTCACCCAGGCTGGAGTGCAGTGGCACAATCTTGGCTCACTGCAACCTCCGCCTCCTGGGTTCAAGTGATTCTCCTGCCTCAGCCTCCCAACTAGCTGGGATGACAGGTGCCTACCACCATGCCTGGCTCCAACATGCCCAGCTAATTTTTGTATTTTTAGTAGAGACGGGTTTCGCCATGTTGGCCAGTCTGGTCTTGAACTCCTGACCTCAAGCGATCTGCCCACCTTGGCTTCCCAAAGTGCTGGGATTATAGGTGTGAGCCACCGTGCCTGGCTCAAAAGTAACCATTTTAAAGTGATCAGTTAGGTGACATTTACTCCATTCTCTGTGTTGTGCAACCACCACCTCTATTTCCAAAACATTCTGATCATTTCAAAATAAAAGTGGTTCCCACTAAGTAGTTAATCCCAATTCCTGCCTCCCTTGGCCCCAACAACCACCACCCACCAATCTAATTTCTCTGTTTCTATGGATTTATCTGTTGTGGATACTTCGTATAAATGGAATCATACAATATGTAACCTTTTGTGTCTGGCTTATTTAGCATACAATTTTCAAGGTTCATCAGTATTTCATTCCTTTTTATGCCTGAATAATATTCCATTATATGCAAATACCACAATTTGATTGGTCCCCCCCCTTTTTTTTGAGATGGCAATTTCGCTCTTGTTGCCCAGGCTGGAGTGCAACGGCATGATCTCGGCTCACCACAACCTCCACCTCCCAGGTTCAAGTGACTCTCCTGTCTCAGCCTCCCCAGTAGCTGGGATTACAGGTATACGCCACCATGCCTGGCTAATTTTGTATTTTTAGTAGAGACAGGGTTTCTCCATGTTGCTCAGGCTGGTCTTGAACTCCTGATCTCAGGTGATTCGCCTGCCTCGGCCTCCCAAAGTGCTGGGATTACAGGCGTGAGCCACCGTCCGGCTGGGCCCCCTTTTTATAATTTCTGTCTCCTTATTGATATCTCATTTTGTTCATACTTTGTTTTCCTGTTTTTTTCTTTTTTCTCTGAGCATATTTAGGACAGTTGTTCATTAAAAGTGTTTGTCTAGTAAGTCCAATTCTGGGTTTCCTCAGAGATGATTTCTGTCATTCCCATGTGCCCCCGCCCCCGCCCCCACCAAATGGGACATTCTTTCCTGTTTCTTTCTATGCCCTGTCTTTTTCTTGTTGTTGAACACCAGGTATTTTGAATACCAGAATGCAGTGATTCTAGGAACCAAATTCTCCCGTCCTCAGGGTTTGCTGTTGTTGATTGCTGAGGGCTGCAGTTGTCTGCTTAACAACTTTTCCAAACCATTTGCACAGACTGTATTCCTGCTTGTGTGTGGTCAGTGAAGTCTTTGTTACAATATCTCATTGGTAAGCCAGTGACCTGATGGAGATTTCCTTAGATGTCTGGAGATCAAAGAAAATAAAAAAAAAAATGATTCTCCCAGTCTTTCCACTTTGGCTCTGAGAGGGGCACTCCCTTAAAGCTATGGCAGCCTGCCTACAACTCTGCCTTAGCCCTCACCCCTTACTTGCTCCAGCAGAGGTGCAAAGCTAGTCTCCTCTTAGGTCTTTTCTGAGTATGTATCCAATACCGGGCACGTATATTGTACTCTTTTTTCCCCTGGTATATGCATGGTCCTTCCAAGCCCTCTGTTCCCCAAGAAACTTCCCCCAGCCTCCTCCTTCGAGGGTTTTTGGATTTGTCTGCTGCTTGCTCTGTCCACCATCCCTTGCCCCAGGCAGGCAGGGGTAGTACATGACTTTAAATCTTTCTACAGGCTGGGCGCGGTGGCTCATGCCTGTAATCCCAGCACTTTGGGAGGTCAAGGCTGGCGGATCACCTTAGGTCACAAGTTTGAGAACAGCCTGGCCAACATGGCGAAACCCTGTCTCTACTAAAAGTACAAAATTAGCCGGGCATGGTGGTGCATGCCTGTAGTCCCAGCTACTTGGGAGGCTGAGGCAGGAGAATCGTCTGAAACCGGGAGGCGGAGGTTGCAGTGAGCCGAGATTGCGCCATTGCGCTCCAGCCTGGGCGACAAGAGCGAAACGCTGTCTCAAAAAGAGAAAAAAAAAATTTCTACAGATGCTACCACTTCCCAGAAAGCTACTCCAACTCATGAGGGGGTGGTGGGACAAAGGTCAGCCTCTGCACCAGTCCCTTCAGGAACCAGCAGACAGGTCAGAATGAACAACCACAGTTTTTAAAGAAGGTCTATATTCATCCCTTTGTACCAAGCAAGCTACACCAAGAACATGGGCTGCTATCGTCACAGCCGCCCCTTCTGTGCTAGGGAAGGATAGATGATAGCCTAGTGAAAACACCATAATATTGATACTTTCACTGGAATTCATAGGCCTTCTCCTCACCAAGCACTTGCCCAGTCGTTGCAAGTGTTCTGAAAGTTCTGAAAGTTTATTCTGTCAATTTTAGATTCCAGAGTTCCGAAAGTTTATACTGTCAATTTTTGGCAGTTTATGGTGGTTTCAGAGGAGATACTGATTCTTTGAGAGCCCTACTCTCCCATTTTCTTTGGTTTGGCAGTTTCTTAAACTGTAAACATAAGCTTGCCATACAACCAGTAATTCCACTCCTAGAAATCTAACGATGAGAAATGAAATCAAGTCCATACAAAGACTTGCACATGAACGTTCACAGCAGCTTTATTTGGTACAGACAAACAAATTCTAACCACTCAAATTCTCATCAACTGGTGAATGGATAGTCAACTATCAAAAATGGAGCCAGACTTTTGATTCTCTATCATTTACAAATCTCCAAAACTATCCTCCTTAAACATGAGTGATTTCATGTCACTATCCCCCCTCAAAAATATAAACTGATTTTTTAAGAGCCTAGAATGAAGACTATATTTCTAAAATGTGGTACTCAAGGCCCTCTGTAACATTTCTCCAAACTTACTTTCTAGCCTTTGCTTCTAATATTACAGCCCAGTCCTAGTGAGCAGTCTTCCTTCAGGCATCACCTGTAAACATTCTTGTCATTCTACTCAAATGCCATCTCTTCAGGAAATCTCCCTGCTTCCTCTACTATATTCCCATATAATCTGTATAGTATAGCAATCACTTGTGGTTACAGTTAGGTGTATATATTTGTTGCTTCAACTAAATACTGAAGCACTGAAACAACTATATAACATGCAATTTGTTACTGCTAGCATAATACATGGGTGCATAATAGGTGCTTGACAAACATTTGCTGAATTCATGAATGTACGAATGTACATGACCTACAAATGAAAAAGCTAAACAAAATGTAAAAGGAATTAATGAAACTGGGAATTATGGAAGAATAATTGAGAAATAAATTTAAACAAGAAAGGAAAAATAGGGAAATTTTTATATAGATGTTTTAATTTAAAGACTCTAGAGCTTTAGGGAAGACACTTGGCCCAAGACAGAAGCAACTACTGCAGTTCCTCACACATAACAGCCTGTTGAATGAACAATACAACTAACTGGTTAAAACGAACTTACAGCCAGGCATATCCCAGCACTTTGGGAGGCTGAGGTGGGAGGGTGGCTTGAGCCCAAGAGTTCAAGACCAGTCATAGTGAGACCCCGTCTCTTAAAAAAATGTAAAACTTAGCCAGGCATGGTGACGCATACCTGTAGTCCTAGCTACTCTGAAAGCTAAGGTGGGAGGACTGTTTGAGCCTGGGAAGTCAAGGCTGCAGTGAGCCGTGATGGTGCCACTACACTCTAGCCTGGGTGATAGAGTAAGACCCTGTCTCAAACAAACAAACAAACATAGAAACAATAAAATAAACAAAACACTGAACACCTATCTGTGCCAATACTATGTGAAACACATACTTAGGCAAGACCCTCATCTGATTTTGGGAAGCAAAGAGTAAATGGGAAAAGCCAATGCATGCTGGGAGTCACTGCAGCCAGGGACTTGTTTGGAAAGTAATTTGTATTGCTGCAGATGGGAGTCATTTGAATGGTACCTCATGAAATGGGCCAGGCTGGGACTGGGGGATGGCTGGGGTGAGGTGTGGCCAGGTCCCTGACACATTCTGAGGAAGTGGAACTAATCCCAGTGTTTTCATTCAGCCTTTGGTTATATTTGACAGACAGCACAATGCTTGCATGGGGCTTGTAATGGTTCAAGAAACTGAACTAAGCAGAGCCATCAACTCATAGACAGAAAGCTTGGTTTTTGCTACATGCCCAACCATTGCTAATACTCTTTTCCAAAGACATAGAGAAGTAATTTTCAGTATGCAAACATTTAAATTTTACCTTTGCTGTTCTGAATTATAGATACCAAATGGCATACCACCATAAACAGATGATGGCACAGCTCTTCCAGCTAGCATGCTGGTGATTTCATAGTGAAAATATTGTTTGTTTCACTAAAGCCTGCTTGAAAATTTTGAAAGCAAAACAACTCTTATCCACTGAGGACTATGCCTAAGTATAGCTAATGGTTTTAATCTACCCTCCAAAAAAGAAGAAAAAAAAAACCCCACTCCTCTGTAATTTAAGCACATATTCAGAAAAAAATGCTAAGAATGAAATAAAGCACCCATAATCTTTGAACCTCATATATTAGTTTAAGAATGATACTTGTGAGATAGAGTTAAAACCTACAAGATTCCTGTAAGCATTTACAAATATGCTATAAGTGAATGAAACAGAAAATAATCAAACCAATACATACCGACAGATTAATAGGTACAAAGCTTGCACTAGGTTACACAGTAAAGCAGTCCAACAATACAAAGGATGTTCTCTTCAGGAAGTAAAGATAAATGCATGTTGACTGAATAAAGTTATATTAAACACTAACTTTTCTGTTTGTTACAAAGGCTTTTTATAGGGTAGTCTACATGAATATTCTTCTGCTGAATATGTTTAACTCTATACTAGTGTATATCACCACCACCCAGCCATGCTTGTACAATTTGATCTTGATCCCACAGATAATAATTGATGAGACCAAGGATGGACACATGACCCAAGACGACCCAATCAGACTGTCTTGGAGAAACTTCACATTGAGAATCCGACCACCAGTCTGGGAAGTTGCTTAAACTGAAGACATATAGATGCATCATTTTGCCATGTGCCTGTCAAACACAGTGAAAGCTGTTCTGCAGAAGACAACACCTTTTGGGAGAGGAGAGTAAAGTAGACTTACAGAAAGTGGTGAGGCTAAGAGAACACAAGACCTCAGAAAAAGAAAGCAAGATAGAGAATCTGAAGACTCGGTGGGCCACAAGAGTATCCCCATTCCTCTTCCCAGGCCCTAGGGAGTCGTTCTACTCTTCCTGCCCTTTGAGAGCAGGATATTCTTCAGTGCCCTTCCAATACATTCCCTTGCGTACTAGGGCTTATTTGAAGTGTTGTTTCTATTACTTGCCACCAAAAAGAATCTTAACAATACAACAGTCCCCTTTTTCTATTCCATTACATAGTGACAATGAGGAATATGGAATGGGGTTGGGTGTCTTTTTTTTTTTTCCAGAAAGGACACCGTTATTGAACACAGATAATAAAAGAGAGGGCAGAATCAGGCTCCACATTATTTTTTCTTTACCTTTTGTCAATCTCCAGGGCCCTAAGCAATTATTTTAGTGAATTTTTCAGTTTTACACTTGTTATCTTGGGAAGAGGATCACTGACCTCTTCATTCTGTTCTATCTGGATGTCCCACAATTGACTTTTTAAATTGTTTTAAAATTATTTTTTTCCTTTTTGCTTTCTTTATCAGCTTTTTAAAACTGTGTCTTTGGGCCAGGTGTGGTAGTTCATGCCTGTAATGCCAGCACTTTGGCAGGCCAAGGCAGGCAGGTCACCTGAGCTCAGGAGTTCGAGACCAGCCTGGGCAACACGGCAAAACCCCAACTTTACAAAAAAAATACAAAAAAATTAGCCGGGCATGGTGGCATGTGCCTGTAGTCTCAGCTACTTGGGAGGCGGAGGTGGGAGGATTACTTGAGCCCAGGAGGTTGAGGCTTCAGTGAGCCAAGATCATGCCACTGCACTCCAGCCTGAGTGACAAAGGGAGATCCTGTCTCAAAACAAAACAAAACAAAACAAAACAAAACAAAACAAAACACCACCAAGTGTTTTTCCCCTGTGTTAGCTGAAAAGTCACATACCTTATTTTTGTTAAGGGGTTACCTTAGACATTTTATCATCTATACTCATCAAAGTCTAAACAAATGGATGTCTCAGTCCTCCTCTTGAACACAAGAATTCAGAACATTTTAATTTCAAGCAACCTTGTATTACTGTGTATTTTTGAATGCTAGCTTAAAAAGCCTCTCATATGACATCATTATGATTATGTTATACAGTCACTGTTTGACATATTTACCTTATTCTTTGCTTTTTATTCCTTCTTGCACCTCAAACCTTCCTTCTTGGATCATTTTCCTTCTACTTGGAGATGATCCTTTCATTCTAAAATGTGTGTCTATTGGAGGTAAATTCTCTCAGTTTCTATTTAATCTAACATTCTCTTTATTTCACTTTCATTCTGAAAGACAGTATTTGCTGGGTATAGGAAGTATGCTATTATTTTCTCTGAGAGTAACGAAGCTACCACTGCTTCCTGGTTTCCATTGCTGCTGTTGAAGGATCAGAGTTTGCCAATATAGCCAATCCATTCCTTTGGATGCTTCAAAGATCTTCGTTTCATCTTTGGTCACTGCAGTTCCATTAAATTATATTTAGGTGTGAGTTTCTTTATATATATATATTTTGGATCTTATTTGGTTTCTTGACACAGATTTTTATAATGCATAAACTATAATGTATGTCTTATAGAATGCAGAAAAAAACACAAAATGTAATATGGCTTAACAGAATCTTGCCAACACCCCAGAAGTACCCTGGCATTCCTCTTCCCCATCATATACCTCTCGTTTTCTGCTAAAGTAGTAAGTATCTTGATATTTATGTACTTATTTTTAAAAGACAGGGTCTCTCACAGTGCAATCAAACTAGAACTCAGGATTAAGAATCTCACTCAAAACCGCTCAACTACATGGAAACTGAACAACCTGCTCCTGAATGACTAATGGGTACATAACGAAATGAAGGCAGAAATAAAGATGTTCTTTGAAACCAACGAGAATAAAGACACAACATACCAGAATCTCTGGGACACATTCAAAGCAGTGTGTAGAGGGAAATTTATAGCACTAAATGCCCACAAGAGAAAGCAGGAAAGATCCAAAATTGACACCCTAACATCACAATTAAAAGAACTAGAAAAGCAAGAGCAAACACATTCAAAAGCTAGCAGAAGGCAAGAAATAACTAAAATCAGAGCAGAACTGAAGGAAATAGACACACAAAAAACCCTTCAAAAATTAACGAATCCAGGAGCTGGTTTTTTGAAAAGATCAACAAAATTGATAGACCGCTAGCAAGACTAATAAAGAAAAAAAGAGAGAAGAATCAAATAGATGCAATAAAAAATGATAAAGGGGATATCACCACCGATCCCACAGAAATACAAACTACCATCAGAGAATACTGCAAACACCTCTATGCAAATAAACTAGAAAATCTAGAAGAAATGGATAAATTCCTTGACACATACACTCTCCCAAGACTGAACCAGGAGGAAGTTGAATCTCTGAATAGACCAATAACAGGAGCTGAAATTGTGGCAATAATCAATAGCTTACCAACCAAAAAGAGTCCAGGACCAGATGGATTCACAGCCGAATTCTACCAGAGCTACAAGGAGGAACTGGTACCATTCCTTCTGAAACTATTCCAATCAACAGAAAAAGAGGGAATCCTCCCTAACTCTTTTTATGAGGCTAGCATCATCCTGATACCAAAGCCGGGCAGAGACACAACCAAAAAAGAGAATTTTAGACCAATATCCTTGATGAACATTGATGCAAAAATCCTCAATAAAATACTGGCAAACCGAATCCAGCAGCACATGAAAAAGCTTATCCACCATGATCAAGTGGGCTTCATCCCTGGGATGCAAGGCTGGTTCAATACAAGCAAATCAATAAATGTAATCCAGCATATAAACAGAACCAAAGACAAAAACCACATGATTATCTCAATAGATGCAGAAAAGGCCTTTGACAAAATTCAACAACCCTTCATGCTAAAAACTCTCAATAAATTAGGTATTGATGGGACGTATCTCAAAATAATAAGAGCTATCTATGACAAACCCACAGCCAATATCATACTGAATGGGCAAAAACTGGAAGCACTCCCTTTGAAAACTGGCACAAGACAGGGATGCCCTCTCTCACCACTCCTATTCAACATAGTATTGGAAGTTCTGGCCAGGGCAATTAGGCAGGAGAAGGAAATAAAGGGTATTCAATTAGGAAAAGAGGAAGTCAAATTGTCCCTGTTTACAGATGACATGATTGTATATCTAGAAAACCCCATTGTCTCAGCCCAAAATCTCCTTAAGCTGATAAGCAACTTCAGCAAAGTGTCAGGATACAAAATCAATGTACAAAAATCACAAGCATTCTTATACACCAATAACAGACAAACAGAGAGCCAAATCATGAGTGAACTCCCATTCACAATTGCTTCAAAGAAAATAAAATACCTTGGAATCCAACTTACAAGGGATGTGAAGGACCTCTTCAAGGAGAACTACAAACCACTGCTCAACGAAATAAAAGAGGATACAAACAAATGGAAGAACATTCCATGCTCATGGGTAGGAAGAATCAATATCGTGAAAATGGCCATACTGCCCAAGGTAATTTATAGATTCAATGCCATCCCCATCAAGCTACCAATGACTTTCTTCACAGAATTGGAAAAAACTACTTTAAAGTTCATATGGAACCAAAAAAGAGCCCTCATCGCCAAGTCAATCCTAAGCCAAAAGAACAAAGCTGGAGGCATCACACTACCTGACTTCAAACTATACTACAAGGCTACAGTAACCAAAACAGCATGGTACTGGTACCAAAACAGAGATATAGATCAATGGAACAGAACAGAGCCCTCAGAAATAATGCTGCATATCTACAACTATCTGATCTTTGACAAACCTGAGAAAAACAAGCAATGGGGAAAGGATTCCCTATTTAATAAATGGTGCTGGGAAAACTGGCTAGCCGTATGTAGAAAGCTGAAACTGGATCCCTTCCTTACACCTTATACAAAAATCAATTCAAGATGGATTAAAGACTGAAACGTTAGACCTAAAACCATAATAACCCTAGAAGAAAACCTAGATATTACCATTCAGGACATAGGCATGGGCAAGAACTTCATGTCTAAAACACCAAAAGCAATGGCAACAAAAGACAAAATTGACAAATGGGATCTAATTAAACTAAAGAGCTTCTGCACAGCAAAAGAAACTACCATCAGAGTGAACAGGCAACCTACAGAATGGGAGAAAATTTTCGCAACCTACTCATCTGACAAAGGGCTAATATCCAGAATCTACAATGAACTCCAACAAATTTACAAGAAAAAAACAAACAACCCCATCAAAAAGTGGGCAAAGGACATGAACAGACACTTCTCAAAAGAAGACATTTATGCAGCCAACAGACACATGAAAAAATGCTCACCATCACTGACCATCAGAGAAATGCAAATCAAAACCACAATGAGATACCATCTCACACCAGTTAGAATGGCAGTCATTAAAAAGTCAGGAAACAACAGGTGCTGGAGAGGATGTGGAGAAATAGGAACACTTTTACACTGTTGGTGGGACTGTAAACTAGTTCAACCATTGTGGAAGTCAGTGTGGCAATTCCTCAGGGATCTAGAACTAGAAATACCATTAGACCCAGCCATCGCATTACTGGGTATATACCCAAAGGACTATAAATCATGCTGCTATAAAGACACATGCACACGTATGTTTACTGCGGCATTATTCACAATAGCAAAGACTTGGAACCAACCCAAATGCCCAACAATGATAGACTGGATTAAGAAAATGTGGCACATATACACCATGGAATACTATGCAGCCATAAAAAATGACGAGTTCATGTCCTTTGTAGGGACATGGATAAAATTGGAAATAATCATTCTCAGTAAACTATTGCAAGAACAAAAAACCAAACACTGCATATTCTCACTCATAGGTGGGAACTGAACAATGAGAACACATGGACACAGGAAGGGGAACATCACACTCTGGGGACTGTTGTGGGGTGGGGGGAGGGGGGAGGGATAGCATTGGGAGATATACCTAATGGTAGATGATGAGTTAGTGGGTGCAGTGCACCAGCATGGCACATGTATACATATGTAACTAACCTGCACATTGTGCACATGTACCCTAAAACTTAAAGTATAATAATAATAAATAAATAAATAAATAAATAAAAGATAGGGTCTCCCTGTGTTGCCCGGGCCAGACTTGAACTCCTGGGCTCAATCTTCCCACCTCAGCTTCCAAGTAGCTGGGACTATAGGGGCATAACATTATGCCCAGCTATCTTGATTTTTCTACAAATACCTTCCTTGCTTTTCTTTTCCCTTAGATTTTTTCCTTACTTAAGTATGCACCCCTAAACAAGAAAGCTTATTTTTTTGCCTGTTTCTAAACTTCATGTATATAGAATCATAAAACATATATTTTGACTTATATTGCTCAGTATTTTGTTTGGGAGATTCATTTATGATGTCGTATGTAGCTCCATGGTGTTGTTCTTCTCAATTCTAAATGGTATTTCATAATAAGAATACATCACAGCCTCCCGAGTAGTGAGGACTACAGGTGCCCGCCACCATGCCCAGCTAATATTTTGTATTTTTAGTAGAGACAGGGTTTTGCCATGTTGGCCAGGCTGGTCTTGAACTCCTGGCCTCAAGTGATCAGCCTGCCTCAGCCTCCTAAAGTGCTGGGATTACAGCCGTGAGCCACTGCACCCAGCCCCTGTGCGTGTTTCTTGATATACATGTGCACATGTTTCTTTGGATATATATATACACACACACCTAGGGATATGTGAATCTTCAAATTTTACAGATAATGTCTAAGTATTTTTGTCAGTTTACAGTTCCATCAGCAGTATATGAGAATATCTATTGTTCCATATCCTAATAATTGGCAGGGTTAGTCTTTTTAATATTCTTTTTAATACCCACCATTCTGGTAGGTATGCTATGGAATCTCATAATGATTTAAAATTGCTTTTCTTTTATTAATGGATTTAACACTTACATTTGTTTACTCACCATTTGAATTTTGTTAGTATTTTTGGTGCAAACGGTCTGATCAAATTGCTTACCTATTTTCATACTGAGTTGTCTGTCTTTACCTGCCATACATACTACTTATTTACTGTTTCCAAGATATATTCTGGCCTGGCATGGTGGCTCATGCCTGTAATAATCTGTACACTTTGGGAGAGGCTGAGACACTGCCAAAATATGATTTAAATCATATTTAAGCCATTATGTATACACATGTAATGCATTATGATTTAAATAATAAACATTATATATAACAATTATTATTTAAATCTTAATGCATTGTATGCCTATTTATTGATATGAGATATCAATAGATATACATATCCCATAATAAATATCCCACATCAACAAACAGGCATACAATGCATTATGATTTTTAAAAATTATTGTTGTAAAATACAGATAACATAAAATTTATCATCTTAACCACTTTTAAGTGGTTTAAGTTTAGTGCTATTAAATATATTCATAATGTTGTGCAACCATCACCACTGTCCATTTTCATAACTGTTTTCCTGTTGTAAAATCGAAACTTGACACCTATTAAACACTGACTCCCCATTCCTTCCTCCCTTTGCCTTTAGCAACCACCCTAAATCTCTCCTATTTAGACTACTCTAAGTACCTCATGTAAGTGAAATCATACAGTATTTGTCTTTTTGTGACTGGCTATATCACTTAGCATAATGTCCACAAACTTCATCCATTTTGTAGCACATATCAGAATTTCCTTCCTTTTTAAGCTGAATAATATTCCATTATATGGACAGACTGCATTTGTTTATCTATTTATCCTTTGATGAACACTTGGATTGCTTCCAATGTTATAGCTACGGTGAATAATGCTGCTGTGAACATAGGGGTAGAAATATCTGAAGACTCTGCTTTCAGTTATTCTGGCATGTACCTCAGGTGAAATCAGTGGATCACATGGTAATTCTATTTTTAATTTTCTTAGGAACTGCTATGCTGTTTTCTATAGCAGCTGTACCATTTTATATCCCTACTATAACAGCGCGCAACGGTTCTAATTTTTCTACTTTCTTGCCAGTGCTTGTTATTTTCTGTTTTTTGGATAGGAGACATTCTTTTTTTTTTTGAAATGGAGTCTCACTCTGTCACCCAGGCTGGAGAGCAGTGGTGCAATCTCGGCTCACTGCAACCTCCACCTCCCAGGTTCACGCAATTCTCCTGTCTCAACCCCACAAGTAGCTGGGATTACAGGTGTACGCCATCATGCCCAGCTAATTTTTGTACTTTCAGTAGACACGGGGTTTCACCATGTTGGCCAGGCTGGTCTTGAACTCCTGACCTCGTGATCTGCCTGCCTTGGCCTCCCAAAGTGCTGAGATTACAGGCGTGAGCCACCGCGCCCAGCCTGGATAGGAGACATTCTAATGGGTGTGAGGTGGTATCTCACTGTATTTTAATTTGTAGCTCCCTAATGATTAGTGATGTTGAGCATCTCTTCATGTACTTAATGGCCATTTGTGTATATGTTCTTGGAGAAATGTCTATTCAAGTCCTTTGCCCATTTTTGAACAGAGTTGTTTTGGTGTTGAGTTTTAGGAGTTCTCTTTATATTCTGTATTATAATCCCTTATCAGATACATGATTTGCAAAATTTTGTCCTATTTGTGAGTTGCCTTTTCACTGTTCATAATGTCTGTTAGTACACAAAACTTTTACATTTTCACTAAGTCCAATCTGTCTCTTCTCCTTAAGTTGACTATACCTTTGCTGTCATATCTAAGAAATCACTTGCCAAATCCAATGTAGTGAAGCTTTTCCTGTTTTCTAAGACTATTATACTTTTAGGTTTTACATGTAGGTCTTTGATCCATTTTGAGTTAATTTTTGTATATGGTGTTAGCTAAGGTTCCAACTTCATACTTTTGCATGTGGATATCCAGATTTCCAGGCACCATGTGTTAAATGAATGTCATTTCCCCATTGAATGGTCTTGGCACATTAGTCAAAATTCATTTGACTAAGTACGGGTGGGTTCATTTTGGACTCTGTATTCTATTCCATTAGCCAATGTCTGTCTTTAAATCAGTCCTACATTGTTTTGATTATTGTAGCTTTGTAGTAAGTTTTGAAATTAAGAAATGAGTCCTCCAGCTTTGTTCTTTTTGAAGATTGTTTTGGCTACTCAGGGTCCCTTGAGATTCCATGTGAATTCTAGAATGAGTTTTTCTATTTCTGCGAAAAACATCACTGGAATTTTGATAGAGATTTCATTGAATCTGTAGATTGCTTTGAGTAGTACTGACATCTTAACACAGAGTCTTCCAATCCATGAATTTGGGACGTGTTTCCACTGATTTATGTCTTATTTTCTTTCAGCAATGTTTTGAAGTTTTCATTGTACAAATCTTTCACCTTCTTGGTTAATTCCTAGGTATTTTATTCTTTTTTTATGCTATTGTAACAAAATTGTTTTTGTAATTTCCTTTCCAGATATTGTTCACTGTTAGTGTATAGAAATCCAACCCATTTTTGTTATTGTTTTTCTAACCAATTTTAGTGTGTTCACTTTGTATTCTGCTACTTTGCTGAATTTATTTGTTTTCACAGGTTTTTGGGGGTAGAATCCTTAGTTTTTTACATATAGATCACATAATCTGTAAACATAATTTAACTTGTAGACAGCCTATAGTTACATCATTAAAAAAAATACATTCTGGGGGGAGGTTCCAAGATGGCTGAACAGGAACAGCTCCAGTCTATAGCTCCCAGCGTGAGCGATGCAGAAGACGGGTGATTTCTGCATTTCCAACTGAGGTACCGGGTTCATCTCACTAGGGCTTGTCGGACAGTGGGTGCAGCCCATGCAGCAGGGTGGGGCATCGCCTCACCTGGTAAGTGCAAGGGGTCAAGGAATTCCCTTTCCTAGCCAAGGGAAGCTGTGACAGATGGTACCTGGAAAATCGGGACACTCCCACTCTAATACTATGCTTTTCCAACGGTCTTAGCAAACGGCACACCAGGAGATTACATCCCGCGCCTGGCTCAGAGGGTTCCATGCCCACGAAGCCTCGCTCACTGCTAGCACAGCAGTCTGAGATCCAACTGCAAGGCGGCCGCGAGGCTGGGGGACAGGCATCCGCCATTGCTGAGGCTTGAGTAGGTAAACAAAGCAGCCGGGAAGCTCGAACTGGGTGGAGCCCACTGCAGCTCAGTAGGCCTGCCTGCCTCTGTAGACTCCACCTCTCGGGGCAGGGCATAGCTGAACAAAAGGCAGCAGAAGCTTCTGCAGACTTAAACATCCCTGTCTGACAGCTTTGAAGAGAGCAGTGGTTCCCCCAGCACGGAGTTTGAGATCTGAGAACGGACAGACCGCCTTCTCAAGTGGGTCCCTGACCCCCGAGTAGCCTAACTGGGAGACACCTCCAAGTAGGGGCCGACTGACACCTCATACAGCCCAGTGCCCCTCTGAGACAAAGCTTCCAGAGGAAGGATCAGGCAGCAACATTTGCCCTTCTGCAATATTTGCTGTTCTGCAGCATCCGCTGGTGATACCCAGGCAAAAAGGGTCTGGAGTGGACCTCCAGCAAACTCCAACAGACCTGCAGCTGAGGGTCCTGACTGTTAGAAGGAAAACTAACAAACAGAAAGGACATCCACACCAAAACCCCATCTGTACGTCACCATCATCAAAGACCAAAGGTGGATAAAACCACAAAGATGGGGAGAAACCAGAGCAGAAAAGCTGAAAATTCTAAAAATCAGAACGCCTCTTCTCCTCCAAAGGAACGCAGCTCCTCGCCAGCAAGGGAACAAAGCTGGACGGAGAATGACTTTGACGAGTTGAGAGAAGAAGGCTTCAGACGACTGGTAATAACAAACTTTGCTGAGCTAAAGGAGGATGTTCGAACCCATCGCAAAGAAGCTAAAAACCTTGAAAAAAAGATTAGACGAATGGCTAACTAGAATAAACAGCATAGAGAAGACCTTAAATGACCTGATGGAGCTGAAAACCATGGCACAAGAACTACATGACACATGCACAAGCCTCAGTAGCCGATTTGATCAAGTGGAAGAAAGGGTATCAGTGATTGAAGATCAAATGAATGAAATGAAGTGAGAAGAGAAGTTTAGAGAAAAAAAGAATAAAAAGAAATGAACAAAGCCTCCAAGAAATATGGGACTATGTGAAAAGACCAAATCTACATCTGATTGGTGTACCTGAAAGTGACGGGGAGAATGGAACCAAGTTGGAAAACACTCTGCAGGATATTATCCAGGAGAACTTCCCCAACATAGCAAGGCAGGCCAACATTCAAATTCAGGAAATACAGAGAACGCCACAAAGATACTCCTCGAGAAGAGCAACTCCAAGACACATAATTGTCAGATTCACCAAAGCTGAAATGAAGGAAAAAATGTTAAGAGCAGCCAGAGAGAAAGGTCGGGTTACCCACAAAGGGAAGCCCATCAGACTAACAGCGGATCTCTCGGCAGAAACTCTACAAGCAAGAAGAGAGTGGGGGCCGATATTCAACATTCTTAAAGAAAAGAATTTTCAACCCAGAATTTCATATCCAGCCAAACTAAACTTCATAAGTGAAGGAGGAATAAAATCCTTTACAGACAAACAAATGCTGAGAGATTTTGTCACTGCCAGGCCTGCCTTACAAGAGCTCCTGAAGGAAGCACTAAATGTGGAAAGGAACAACCGGTACCAGTTACTGCAAAAACGTGCCAAATTGTAAAGACCATCAATGCTAGGAAGAAACTGCATCAACTCACCAGCAAAATAACCAGCTAACATCATAATGACAGGATCAAATTCACACATAAAAGTATTAACCTTAAATGTAAATGGGCTAAATGCTCCAATTAAAAGGCACAGACTGGCAAATTGGATAAAGAGTCAAGACCCATCTGTGTGCTGTATTCAGGAGACCCATCTCATGTGCAGAGACACACATAGGCTCAAAATAAAGGAATGGAGAAGGATCTACCAAGCAAATGGAAAACAAAAAAAAAAAAAAAAAGAGGAGTTGCAATCCTAGTTGCTGATAAAACAGACTTTAAACCAACAAAGGTCAAAAGAGACAAAGAAGGCCATTACATAATGGTAAAGGGATCAATTCAACAAGAAGAGCTAACTATCCTAAATATATATGCACCCAATACAGGAGCACCCAGATTCATAGAGCAAGCCCTTAGAGACCTACAAAGAGACTTAGACTCCCACAGAATAATAATGGGAGACTTTAACACCCCACTATCAACATTAGACAGATCAATCAGACAGAAAGTTAACAAGGATATCCAGGAATTGAACTGAGCTCTGCACCAAGCAGACCTAAAAGACATCTACAGAACTCTCCACTCCAAATCAACAGAATATACATTCTTCTCAGCACCAAATTGCACTTACTCCAAAATTGACCACATAGTTGGAAGTAAAGCACTCCTAAGCAAATGTAAAAGAACAGAAATTATAACAAACTGTCTCTCAGACCACAGTGCAATCAAACTAGAACTCAGGATTAAGAAACTCACTCAAAACCGCTCAACTACATGGAAACTGAACAACCTGCTCCTGAATGACTAATGGGTACATAACGAAATGAAGGCAGAAATAAAGATGTTCTTTGAAACCAATGAGAACAAAGACACAACATACCAGAATCTCTGGGACACATTTAAAGCAGTGTGTAGAGCGAAATTTATAGCACTAAATGCCCACAAGAGAAAGCAGGAAAGATCTAAAATCGACACCCTAACATCACAATTAAAAGAACTAGAGAAGCAAGAGCAAACACATTCAAAAGCTAGCAGAAGGCAAGAAATAACTAAGATCAGAGCAGAACTGAAGGAGATAGAGACACAAAAAACCCTTCAAAAAAATCAATGAATCCAGGAGCTGGTTTTTTGAAAAGATCAACAAAATTGATAGACTGCTAGCAAGACTAATAAAGAAGAAAAGAGAGAAGAATCAAATAGATGCAATAAAAAATGATAAAGGGGATATCACCACCAATCCCACAGAAATACAAACTACTATCAGATAATACTATAAACACCTCTATGCAAATAAACTAGAAAATCTAGAAGAAATGGATAAATTCCTGGACACATACACCCTCCCAAGACTAAACCAGGAAGAAGTTGAATCTCTTAATAGACCAATAACAGACTCTGAAATTGAGGCAATAATTAATAGCCTACCAACCAAAAAAAGTCCAGGACCAGACGGATTCACAGCCGAATTCTACCAGAGGTACAAAGAGGAGCTGGTACCATTCCTTCTGGAACCATTTCAAACAACAGAAAAACAGGGAATCCTCCCTAACTCATTTTATTAGGCCAGCATCATCCTGATACCAAAGCCTGGTGGAGACACCACAAAAAAAGAGCATTTTAGACCAATATCCCTGATGAACATTGATGCAAAAATCCTCAATAAAATACTGGCAAACCGTATCCAGCAGCACATCAAAAAGCTTATCCACCATGATCAAGTGGGCTTCATCCCTGGGATGCAAGGCTGGTTCAACATATGCAAATCAATAAATGTAATCCAGCATATAAACAGAACTAAAGACAAAAACCACATGATTATCTCAATAGATGCAGAAAAGGCCTTCAACAAAATTCAACAGCCCTTCATGCCAAAAACTCTCAATAGACTAGGTATTGATGGGACATATCTCAAAATAATAAGAGCTATCTATGACAAACCCACAGCCAATATCATACTGAATGGGCAGACTAGAAGCACTCCCTTTGAAAACTGGCACAAGACAGGGATGCCCTCTCTCACCACTCCTATTCAACATAGTGTTGGAAGCTCTGGCCAGAGCAATCAGGCGGGAGAAAGAAATAAAGGGTATTCAATTAGGAAAAAAGGAAATCAAATTGTCCCATTTGCAGATGACATGATTTTATATTTAGAAAACCCCATCATCTCAGCCCAAAATCTCCTTAAGCTGATAAGCAACTTCAGCAAAGTCTCAGGATACAAAATCAATGTGCAAAAATCACAGGCCTTCCTATACACCAATAACAGACAAACAGAGAGCCAAATCATGAGTGAACTCCCATTCACAATTGCTTCAAAGAGAATAAAATACCTAGGAATCCAACTTACAAGGGATGTGAAGGACCTCTTCAAGGAGAACTACAAACCACTGCTCAACGAAATAAAAAGGGACACAAACAAATGGAAGAACATTCCATGCTCATGGATAGGAAGAATCAATACCATGAAGATGGCCATACTGCCCAAGGTAATTTATAGATTCAATGCCATCCCCATCAAGTTACCAATGACTTTCTTCACAGAATTGGAAAAAACTACTTTAAAGTTCATATGGAACCAAAAAAGAGCCCGCATTTCCAAGACAATCCTAAGCAAAAAGAACAAAGCTGGAGGCATCATGCTACCTGACTTCAAACTATACTACAAGGCTACAGTAACCAAACAGCATGGTACTGGTACTAAAACAGAGATATAGACCAATGGAACAGAACAGAGCCCTCAGAAAGAATACCACACATCTACAACCATCTGATCTTTGACAAACCTGACAAAAACAAGAAATGGGGAAAGGATTCCCTATTTAATAAACGGTGCTGGGAAAACTGGCTAGCTATATGTAGAAAGCTGAAACTGGATCCCTTCCTTACACCTTATACAAAAATTAATTCAAGATGAATTAGAGATTTAAATGTTAGACCTAAAACCATAATAATCCTAGAAGAAAACCTAGGCAATACCATTCAGGACATAGGCATGGGCAAGGACTTCATGACTAAAACACCAAAAGCAATGGCAACAAAAGCCAAAATTGACAAATGGGATCTACTAAACTAAAGTGCTTCTGCACAGCAAAAGAAACTACCATCAGAGTGAACAGGCAACCTACAGAATAGGAGAAAATTTTTACAATCTACCCATCTGACAAAGGGCTAATATCCAGAATCTACAAAGTACTTAAACAAATTTACAAGAAAAAAACAACCCCATCAAAAAGTGGGCAAAGGACATGAACAGACACTTCTCAAAAGAAGACATTTATGCAGCCAACAGACACATGAAAAAATGCTCATCATCACTGGCCATCAGAGAAATGCAAATCAAAACCACAGTGAGATACCATCTCACACCAGTTAGAATGGCAATCATTAAAAAGTCAGGAAACAGCAGGTGCTGGAGAGGATGTGGAGAAATAGGAACACTTTTACACTGTTGGTGGGACTGTAAACTAGTTCAACCATTGTGGAAGACAGTGTGGCGATTCCTCAGGATCTAGAACTAGAAATACCATTTGACCCAGCCATCCCATTACTGTGTATATACCCAAAGGATTATAAATCATGCTGCTATAAAGACACATACACTCGTATGTTTACTGCAGCACTATTCTCAATAGCAAAGACTTGGAACCAACCCAAATGTCCATCAATGATAGACTGGATTAAGAAAATGTGGCACATATACACCATGGAATACTATGCAGCCATAAAAAATGACGAGTTCATGTCCTTTGCAGGGACATGGATGAAGCTGGAAACCATCATTCTGAGTAAACTATCGCAACAACAGAAAACCAAACACCGCATGTTCTCACTCATAGGTGGGAATTGAACAATGAGAATACTTGGACACAGAGTGGGGAACATCACACACTGGGGCCTGTTGTGCGGTGGGGGGAAGGGGGAAGGATAGCATTAGGAGATATACCTAATGTAAATGTTGAGTTAACGAGTACAGCACACCAACATGGCACATGTATACATATGTAACAAACCTGCATGTTGTGCACATGTACCCTAGTGCACATGTATCCTAGAACTTAAAGTATAATAAAAAAAAGAAGAAAAATACATTCTGCTAATCTTGTCTTTTAATTGGAGAGCTTAATCTAGTTACATTTAAAGTAATTACTGATAAGGGAAGGATTTACTTTTGTCATTTTGCAATTTATTTTATATATTCCTTATATCTATTTTGTCCATTTCCTGTATTACCTTTTCCTTTGTGTTTTTTTGGCTTTTTGTAGTGAGGTATTTAAGCTCCTTTCTTGTTTCCTTTTGTACAA
This sequence comes from Homo sapiens, assembly GCF_000001405.40. Classification (NCBI taxonomy): domain Eukaryota; kingdom Metazoa; phylum Chordata; class Mammalia; order Primates; family Hominidae; genus Homo; species Homo sapiens. The sequence continues at coordinate 402,575 of NW_025791788.1, read as the reverse complement.
GTTCTGTAGCTATTTGCTTTGTGCTTACCTTGGAAATTACATTTAAGATCCCAAAGTTATAACAGTCTAAATGGAATTTATACCACTTTAACTTCAATAACACACCTAATCTCTGTTACTTTAACAGCTCTGTCACAAAATTACATCTGTATACATAGTGAGTCCCAAAACACAAGCTACAAATTCTTTGAAATACATTAGTTTCTTAAATTATGTAGAAAGCAGTGTTTGAAGTTACAAACCAAAATTATAATATTAGCTTTTAGACTAATAATATTTTTAAAGTGTAATAAGTTCTAGTGTTCTATACTACTGTAGGATGATTATAGTTAATATATTTAGTTTCAAATGGCTAGAAGGATACTGAATGTTGCTAACACAAAGAAATGATAAATGTTTGAGATGATGGATACGCTAATTAATCTAATCACTAACCACTTTATATATATATCTATATATATATATATATATATATCTATCTTATGTAACTGTATACCCCATAAATGTATAATTGTCAATTTAAAAAATACAAAAGTATTAGTCTCTTATAATCATGTTGAAAACGAAAAGTGAAATCACAAACAGTTGTTACAATACAAGCTTTTATAATTGCTCTATTTGCCTTATTGAGATCTTTATTTCTTCACGTTGTTTTGAGTTGCTGTCTATGGTCCTTTCATTTCACCCTGTAGAACTCCCTTAAATATTTCTTGCAGGACAGATGTAGTGGTAACATACTCCCTCAGCTTTTGTTCATCTGAGAATGTCTTAATTTCTCCCTCACTTTTGAAAGAGTTTTTTGCTGGGTACTGTATTCTTTTGTTTCCTTTTAGCACTTTGAAAATGTCAGCCCAGTGCCTTCTGCCTTCCAAAGTTTCTGAGAAATTTATGTGTGCTGCTTTCTCTCTTGCTGCTTTCAAGTTTCTCTGTTTTGCACAGGTGTATCTTTGAATTCTTCTTACTTGGAGTTTGTTGAACTCAGATGTTTATATTCACGTTGTTCAACAAATGTGGGAAGTTTTCAGCCATTAATTCTTCAGATATTCTTTGTGTTCCTTTTTCTTTCTCGTCTTCTTCTGAGACTCCCACAGTGCATAAGTTGATCCTCTTCATGGTGTCCCACAAGTCTCTTATGCTCTGTTCATTCTTCTGCAGTCTTTCTTCTTTCTGCTCCTAAGAATTGATCATTTCCATTGCCCTATCTCCAAATTTGCTGATTATTTCTTCTACCTGCTCAAATCTGCCTTCGAATCCCTTTAGTGAATTTTTCATTTCAGTTATTGTAGTTCTCAGCTCCAAAATTTCTTTTTGGTTTTAGATTTAATATCTCTTTGTTGCTATTTCCATTTTGTTCATACATCATTTTCTTGACTTTCTCCAGATCTTTAGTTCTTTGAGCATCTTTAGACAGTTTTTAAAACTCTTTAACTAGTAGATCTGCCATTAGGTCTTCTTCATGGACAGTTTCTGTTTATTTATTTTTTTCCTTTGAAAGGCTATATTTTTATGTTACTTTGTATGTCTTTTTGTGTTTTTGTTTTTTTTTTTTGAGATGGAGACTCACTCTGTCGCCCACGCTGGAGTGCAATGGCGCAATCTTTGGTCACTGCAACCTCTGACTCCTGGGTTCAAGCAATTCCCTGCCTCAGCCTCCCGAGTAGCTGGGATTACAGGCACCCGACATCACGCCCGGCTAATTTTTGTATTTTTAGTAGAGACGGGGTTTCACCATGATGACCAGGCTGGTCTCAAACTCCTGACCTCGTGATCCACCTGCCTCATCCTCCCAAAGTGCTGGGATTACAGGCATGAGCCACCACGCTTGGCCGCTTCTTTGTATGTCTTACAATTTTATTGTTGAAAATTGGACATTTGAATCTAATAATATGGTAACGCTAAGAATCAGACTCTTTTCCTTCCCTATGGTTTGCTGTTTTTATTATTATTATTTTTATTTTACTGATTGTTGAAGGTTGTCTCTGTGCCAAGTATCAGCCAGAGGTATAAACTTGAGGTTTTCTCAGGTGTATTTTGACCAATACCTTTCCCTGAGCATATGTGGTCACTTTTTAATTGTCCCTGTATATGCAGTTGCTTTTGAATCCTCCTAGTCTTTAATGCATGGCTCCCAAAAGGGGAAAGATAAAAAAATGAAAGTGGAGACAGGGTGCTAGCCGTTTACATCCTCTGGAAGTTACAACAGTAGTCACCTACCTCTTTGTCTGTATCTCTGTGATCAGAAATAGCAATCAGAGCACAAATCTCTGATATTTGAAGGATAGTGCTGGCCCCCCAAAAATTGTCTGCAGTTTACTCCAGGAACTGGTGCACAGCTGCCTGCCCTGGGGCTGGGTAGCTACTACTTTGTTAAGAGCTGAAATTGACCAGAATTAACCACAATTTACTGACCTAGTCTTCCTGTAGAACAAGCTTGTCTAACCCATGGCCTGTGGGCTGCATGCAGCCCAGGATGACTTTGAATGAGGCCCAACACAAAATTCGTAAACGTTCTTAAAACATTATGATTTTTTTTTTTTTTTTTTTTTTTTTTTTTTAGCTCATCAGCTATCATAGTGTTAGTGTATTTTATGTGTGGCCCAAGACAGTTCTTCTTCCAATGTGACTCAGGGAAGCCAAAACACTGGACACCCCTACTGTAGAAGCTGCAAGAGTTGAATAGACTCCAGAGTTCCAAAATAGTTACATCAGATAGATTCTGCCAATGCAATTGTTGTTGAGGTAGGGAGATAGATTCCTGGTGCTGCCTACTCTGCCATCTCCCCAGAATCCTCTAATATATTGTGATTTAACCAATCTTCTATTGATAATCATTTGGGTTATTTGTAATTTTTTTAACTACTTTATACACTACAAATGAATACCCATGTAAGAGATTTTTGTACATTTCTACAAACATTTTCGTAGGGCAGATTCCTAGAAGTAGAATGGCTTAACATTTAGTAAAGGCTGATAAAATGACCTACATAAAGAGTCTATCAATTCACATTTCTATCAACAATGTGTGAAAGTGCTTATTTTGGAGAGTTTTAAAATTCTCTTATTTTGGTTCCTGTAATTTCTGTAAACCTTGCCAGATGGCCTGGTTATAAATCATGGTCTATGATCTCATTCAGTTTTGTGGCTTCAGTACCATTCACACATACTGAGGGATCTTATATCTCTAGCTCAGGTTTCTCTTTTGATCCACAGAATGGATTATATTATCTTTCTCCATAAACCTGTGTTTACCTCAGGAAATAGCTATCCTATCATGCATTTGCTCATGCCAAAAACCTGGGCTTCATATTTGATTACTCTTCCTTCCTTTTCCCTACATCCAACTAAATCTTAAGTCCTGTTGATTTTACCTCCTAATGATATCTTGAATTCCCCCTACCTTAGTAAAGAAATATCTTTCTATTAGATTACTACAGTAACCTTTATTTTATTTTTTTTTTTTGAGACAGAGTCTTGTTCTGTTGCCCAGGCTAGAGTGCAGTGGTGTGATCTTGGCTCACTGCAGCCTCTGCCTCCCAGGCTCAAGTGATTCTTGTGCCTCAGCCGCCCGAGCAGCTGGGATTACAGGTGTGCGCCATCACACCTGGCTAAATTTTTGTAGTTTTTAGTAGAGATGGGGTATCTCCATGTTGGCCAGGCTGGTCTTGAACTCTTGGCTTCAAGTCATCTGCCCACCTCGGCCTCCCAAAGTGCTGGGATTACAGGAGTGAGCCACTATGCCCAGGCAAATGCAGTAACCTTTAAATGATGCCCTGTAGACTTGATCCTTACATTCACTTCATACACCACATTACAATCAGTGATTTTTCCAAAATGCAGACCTGTTGCTATGTAACTGGCTAAGTAAATAAATACACAAAGAAATAATTCCCCCCTCACCATGCAGACCTGGTTATGTTCCTCCCCTGTAGCCTTTGGGTCCCAGACCTTCACTGTCATTTCCAAAGCCTGTTGTGATCTGGCCACTTCTTTCCTGCACTCAACCCTCCAGCCTCACAATCATGTTCACACCACCCCACTTTGGGAGGAGGAGGAGGAGGAGGAAGAGGGGTAGGGAGGGGGGAGGAAGAGGGGGAGGGAGGATGAGGAACCAGCCAAAGAGATTAAGAAGGGAGACACAAGAGAGAGGGAGTTTCTCTCACTCTCACCAATTCTTTTGGTAAAAAACAAAATAATTGAGTGTTTGAAGAAAGATCATCTGTGTTAAATGCTGCTAAACCATTTGCTAATTCTTTAAAAACTCTAGATGTGTACTCTCCTATAGATTTCCAAAATAACTTCACATTTCTGCAATCACAGAAATGATCACACTGTTTTACACAGAGACAGTAATTTGATCCCTTCGTATAGACTATTGACTCTAATAGACTGTAAGAGCTATGCTTTATTATTACACTCAAGATGCACTCAATAAAAATGATACACTGATACACATATGTGTAAATCCTCAAAGAATTTATGTACTGTTTGGGGAAAACAGATGGTAACTGCCATTCATAACGTAAAGCAGAGAGAAATGAGTCCTGGTGTAGCAGGGTAAGTGGGGTGCTATGGGAGCACCGTGAAGCTGGAGAATGCTTCTTGGAAGGCATGATATTTAAGTCAGGGATTGAGGAAAAGAGCAGGCTACCAAAAAGTGGAGACTTGAGGCTTTAAAAGAATAATCCTTGTACACATAAAAGAAAAGTCAGTCATTTCCACAATACAATTCTTATAAAAATGCCATGAATCCTTGGGTACAGTTTGAAAGCCCCATTCACATATCTGTCAGAATTAAAACTAAAATTCTCTTTAAAAATAAAAACAGCACAATAAAAACAGCTAATATTAATTTTTCATCCCCCTGGACACTAAAAGATTCTAATGGAAATGAAAATGATGATATCATCTTCCAGTAATGGGGAAAAAATGAGGCTGTGGACAAACACTATGTTTTGATTTATTAAACCTCAAGTGAACTTCTCTTTATCCCCCCCATAAGTGATGGGTTACATCGGTTGCCAAAGTCGTCTTTTTCATTAAATACTTTTGTAAATATTGTGGTCACTCTGGTTTACAGCCATCTCCTTCAGACAGTATATCAGTGGAAAAGAATCCCCATTCCCAGCAAATGGTAAAACTACCATTTGTGTAATTTTCTCACAAACCTCACGCTAAGCATGGGTTTCAGGGTTTGCAGAAGGAAAATTGTAGGGAAAAGAACTGTTCTGGAGGCTGTGGCTGTGGCTGCCTGCTTCCCAAACCCAGGACACCACACCCTACAATATGAAAGAGAAACAACCTATGAAATCTCTAATGGTCTCACTTTGAAGATAAGAAAACTGGGGCAGGGCGCGGTGGCTCATACCTGTAATCCCAGCACTTTGGGAGGCCGAGGCAGGTGGATCACCTGAGGTCAGGAGTTCAAGACCAGCCTGGCCAATATGGTGAAACCCTGTCTCTACTAAAAATACAAAAAATTAGCTGGGCGTGGTGGTGGGCGCCTATAATCTCAGCTACTCAGGCGGCTGAGGCAGGAGAATCGCTTGAACCTGGGAGGTAGAGGTTGCAGTGAGCCAAGATCACGCCATTGCACTCCAGCCTGGAAAACAAGAGCAAAACTCCATCTCAAAAAAAAAAAAAAGAAAAGAAAAAAAAGAAAACTGAGTTCCAGAAGGGAAATGTGACTTATGCAATCCTCACTGTGAGGCAAGTGGCCTAGCTGAGATTTGAACTCCAGTTCTCACTCCTTCACGGTGATCTGTTACCAAATTCAGGCATTGAAGCCATCTAGTTTTTGTCTTAAAGGCTTCTGAATACATGTCTTTCAGTGTCTGTTGTGGAGGAATGAAGTGCTGACCAGTGACTTTTCACTTAGCCTGAAAAGTCATTTAGCTTCTGTGACACTTCAGTTTTCCTCCTCTGTAAACTGGAGGATAATAGCACACATCATTGGGTTGAAGAATTTCTTGAGATTACACGTGTACAGTGCCTAGCAAAGAACCAGGCATCTGGCAGCCAGTAGGTGCTCATTCATATTGGCTTCTTTGTTTCTCTCCCATCTGGCTCTCCCTATCATCTGTCAGGTATACTGTATGCAGGAACAGGTAAGAATTTGATTCTGCCAGTAAGCATACCAAAAATGTCTACTCTTAGGTTACTTTGAAACTCTACAAAACTACTCCAATGCTGAATAACATAAGCTTTGAATGTACACCCTTATGGTAAAAAATGACTCAATGTAGTTTTTATGAAGACAAATTAAACTATAAATGCCAAATGTGGTTTTCTTTGTACAAAGTTTCTGCTGTAATTTAAACTCTTCCTGAACTCTTGCCAGAATATTACAAGTGTTAAAACAGGTTGGTTTAGACATGCAAAAACAATTTCCTGCTGTAGGGACATAATATAAACTCACTATATCCATCCAAGCCCAAACTTATAAAAAGCTAAATGTTAAAACCAAGACCTAAAACCAATTGTTAGGTAAATCTTCCATTTCTGCAGTTCCATGAATTATCTACAATAAGGGATATTAAAGGAATAACAAGTTTGGGGGATTGCGGGAGGAACAGGGATGGTAGTTTGTCTTGTTCTTATAGATGTGCTGAGGCAGTGCTTGGGAGAAATCAAAGCCAAGGTGACCAAATGGAAGCTGGCAATTTAAGCTGTGTATGAAGCTCAGGAAAGAGCTCAGAACTTAAAACAGGTATGTAACTCATTAGCATATATTAAAGCAATGTGATTAATGGAGGTGCTAATTTATGCTTACTTAATGAATGAAGCAGATCATGAGGGAGAGCAAGAATGGTAAGAGAAGAGGGCCAGGAGGAAACTAGGTGAGTATCAACTTTAAGACATGGACAAAGGTCATGGTGGAGGGGAACCAGTAAGAGGTACTGAGAAAAAAAGTCAGAAAAGTAGAAGAGCAGATTGACTTCCAAGAATTGGGTAACCAATTTAAAAAAAAAAAAAAAAAAAAAGACAAGAAAAAGGAAGGCTGCATAGATAGGTTTGGAGCCACTGCGACTTTTGAGACTGCAGTTTTCTGAGAGCCATAAATGCGGAAGCAGAACGGTGGTAGAATAAGAATAAGGAATAAATGGAAGGTGAATACATGGAGGCATGTCCTGTAGATTACTTTTTAAAGAAATGGAGTAGAGAATGGGATGAAGGAATAAAAGCAGTTTGAGGACAGCCAAACAGGATGTAGGAAGATTATTTTTGGCTGATGGATGCTTAAGTAGGCTAAGAACAGATTAAGATTATATAAACTGCCATGCTCCTGATTCAAGGGTGCTGTCAGACAGGCTCCACTGTGACCCAACCTGGACATAGTCGCTGTCCACCACTGAACACTTGGGCTCTAATGTAATGCTAGATAGTTTAGTCTAATTAAGACTTTGCAATCAGCTTTGGGTCATGTCCAAAAGGATGGAAACTGGGGAGGTACGGGTTCATACCCAAGACTAGATGGCAAACTTCATGATGCAACACCAAGGGATTCGTGACTAAGTTTCTCATCCTTTAATGCTGATATATGATCTTTTGCTGTAATGGACAAGTTCATGATGATGCTTTCTTCAGTCATGATATGAGAACCTACTAGCCACTCACATGTTTATCTAGTTTGTTTTTTGTTTCTTCCAAACTAGACTATGACGGATTACGTTTTTCTGTTTTCTTGCATTTTGTTTCATTTCTTTTAGAGACAGGGTCTGGCTGTGTCACCCAGACTGGAGTGCAATGGTACAATCATAGCTCGCTGCAGCCTTGAACTCCTGGGCTCAAGTGATTGATCCTCCCACCTCAGCCTCCCAAGTAGCAGGGACTATAGTTATGTGCCACCTTGCCCAGCTAATTTCTAAATGTTTTGCAGAGATGGGGTCTTGCTTTGTTGCTCAAGCGATCCTTGTGCTTTGGCCTTCCAAAGTGCTGGGATTACAGGCATAAGCCATTGCACCAGGCCCAGACTGGTTTCCTTGATTTGTGTTACATCTAAGGTAGAGCTTCCCTTATTTCATCAGCAAAATACATTTAAAAACATAGGACAGCAGGCATGGTGGCTCATGCCTGTAATCCCAAAACTTTGGGAGGCTAAGGCAGGAGGATCTCTTGAGCCCAGGAGTTCGAGACCAGCCCTGGCAACATAGTGAGACCCCATCTCTATGAAAAAAAATTAAAAAAGAAAATTAAGAGATGGAGGGGATCATGGCAGACAGGAGGCAGGACTAGATTATAGCTCCAGAGAGACCATCATCTGGAGGCCTGCATTGTGAATTCTAGCTCCAGATCGACTGCAAGAATAAATTGGCAATCCCAAGAGGACCCACAGACCCTCTGAGGGAAATGGACTGCTCCTGCAGGACCTGGGAGGCACCCCAACTACTGTGAGTGCCCCAATTGCGGAAGTGGGAAAGGGAGACCCGTCTCTCCTAAACACACACCCCCACTGGAGAAGCTGAAGGTCTGTTTGCGGGAGAAGTTTCCGATTTTACCCGGAGCTGAGTCAAGTTAGAGAGCCCAGTGAAATACAGGGGTAGAGGAAGCAGCAGAAAAGCCCTGGGAGCTCGTTGGGTCCCCAAGCAGCCCATTCCTGCCTGACACCACAGGGATCCATCGGGAGGGCGGCCAGAGGAGCAGGGGTAAAACTCCACAGGGAGAATGAATTCTCTAGCCGAACTTTGTAACAATTTGAACGGGACAAGAAGCCTCCTGGCCAGAACTGGGGGAGGGCGCGAATCCAGTGTGCAGACTTCAGAGGCGGGGGAAGAGCCCTTTTCTTTGGCAGCTGGGAGGTGGACAGCCTCGGGTAAGTTTTCAAGCCCCTCTTGCCCTCTGCTTGGAAACAGACTTGGGGCTGTTGGGTGGCGGGGGAACTGCCCTTCAGTTTGCAGTTTGCGTGGGAACTGGGTGAGGCCTGTGACTGCCGGCTTTCCCCAACTTCCCTGACAACCTGCATGACTCAGCAGAGGAAGCCATAATCCTCCTAGGTATACAACTCCAGTGACCTGGGAATCTCACCCCATCCCCCACAGCAGCCGCAGCAAGACCCACCCAAGGAGAGCTCAAACACACCTAGCCCTGTCCCCACCTGATGGTCCTTTCCTATCCACCCTGGTAGCTGAAGACAAAGGGCCTATAGTCTTGGGAATTCTAGGACCCCGCCTACTGCTGGTCCCTTTCCACTCTACTACAGCTGATGCCTTCCAGGAAGCATCACCTCTTGACAGGAGGCCAACCAGCACAAAAATAGATAATTAAATCACCAAAGCTAAGGACCCTCATGGTGTCCATTGCACCCTCTGCCACCTCCACCAGAATAGGCACTGGTATCCACGGCTGAGAGACCCATAGATGGTTCACATCACAAGACTCTGTACAGACAACCCCAGTACCAGCCCAGAGCCGGGCAGACTCACTGGGTGGCTAGGCCCAGAAGAAAGACAATAATCACTGTAGTTTGGCTCACAGGAAGCCACATCCATAGGAAAAGGAGGAGAGTACTACATCAAGGGAACACCCCATGGGACAAAAGAATCTGAATAACAGCCTTCAGCCCTAGACCTTCCCTCTGATAGAACCTACCTAAATGAGAAGGAACCAGAAAACCAACCCTGGTAATATGACAAAACAAGGCTCTTCAGCATCCCCCAAAAATCACATTAGTTCACCAGCAATGGATCCAAACTAAGAAGAAATCTGTGATTTATCTGAAAAAGAATTCAGGAGCTTAGTTATTAAGCTAATCAGGGAGGGACCAGAGAAAGGCAAAGCCCAAAGCAAGGAAATCCAAAAAAATGATACAAGAAGTGAAGGGAGAAATATTCAATGAAATAGATAGCTTAAAGAAAAAAACAATAAAAAACTCAGGAAACTTTGGACACACTTTTAGAAATGCGAAATGCAGGCCAGGCGCGGTGGCTCACGCCTGTAATCCCAGCACTTTGGGAGGCCTAGGTGGGTGGATCACAAGGTCAGGAGATCGAGACCATCCTGGCCAACATGTTGAAATCCCGTCTCTACTAAAAAAATACAAAAATTAGTCGGGCGTGGTGGTGCATACTTGTAGTCCCAGCTACTCGAGAGGCTGAGGCAGGAGAATCACTTGAACCTGGGAGGCAGAGGTTGCAGTGAGACGAGATCGTGCCACTGCACTGCAGACTGGCGACAGAGCAAGACTCTGTCTCAAAACACAAACAAACAAAGAAATGCGAAATGCTCTGGAAAGTCTCAGCAATAGAACTGAACAAGTAGAAGAAAGAAATTCAGAGCTCAAAGACAAGGTCTTTGAATTAACCCAGTCCAACAAAGACAGAGAAAAAAGAATAAGAAAATAAGAACAAAGCCTCCAAGAAGTCTGGGATTATGTTAAACGACCAAACCTAAGAATAATTGGTGTTCCTGAGGAAGAAGAGAATTCTAAAAGCTTGAAAAACATATTTGGGGGAATAATTGAGGAAAACTTCCCCAGCCTAGCTAGAGAGCCAGACATCCAAATACAAGAAGCACAAAGAACACCTGGGAAATTCATCGCAAAATGATCTTTGCCTAGGCACACTGTCATCAGGTTATCCAAAGTTAAGATGAAGGAAAGAATCCTAAGAGCTGTGAGACAGAAGCACCAGGTAACCTACAAAGGAAAACCTATCAGATTAACAGCAGATTTCTCAGCAGAAACCCTATAAGCTAGAAGGGATTGGGACCCTACTCCTCAAACAAAACAATTATCAGCCAATAATTTTGTATTCAGCGAAACTCAGCATCATGTGAAGGAAAGATATAGTCGTTTTCAGACAAACAAATGCTGAGAGAATTCGCCACTACTAAGCCACCACTACAAGAACTGCTAAAAGAAACTCTAAATCTTGAAACAAATCCTGGAAATACATGACAATAGAACCTCTTTAAAGCATAAATCACACAGGACCTATAAAACAAAAATACAAGCTAAAAAGCAAAAGCAAAAAACAAAAAAACCCACAAAGTACACAGGCAACAAAGAGCAGGATGGATGCAACTGTAAATGGCCTAAGTGCTCCACTTAAAAGATACACAACAGCAGAGTAGATAAGGACTCACTAACCAACTATCCGCTGCCTTCAGGAGACTCACTTAACACATAAGGACTCACATACACTTAAAGTAAAGGGGTAGAAAAAGGCATTTCATGCAAATAGACACCAAAAGTGAGCAGGGGTAGCTATTCTTATATCAGACAAAACAAACTTTAAAGCAATAGCAGTTAAAAGAGACAAGGAGGGACATTATATAATGGTAAAAGGCCTTGTCCAACAGGAAAATATCACAATTCTAAACATATTTGCACCTAACACTGGTGCTCCCAAATTTATAAAACAATTATTAATAGACCTAAGAAATGAGACAGACAGCAACACAATAATAGTGGGGAATTTCCATACTTGTTACAATACCTTGGAACAAATGGATTAACAGATATATATACAGAACATTTCACCCAACAACTGCAGAATACACATTCTATTCAAGAGCACATGGAACTTTCTCCAAGATAGACCATATGATAGGCCATAAAATGAGTCTCAATAAATTTAAAAAAATTGAAATTATATCCAACACTCTCTCAGACCACAGTGGAATAAAACTGGAAATCAATTCCAAAAGGAAACTTCAAAACCATGTAAATACATGGAAATTAAATAACCTGCTCCTGAATGAGCATTAGGTCAAAAATGAAATCAAGATGGAAATTAAAAAATTATTTGAACCAGATGACAATAATGACACAACCTATCAAACCTCTGGGATATAGCAAAGTGGTGCTAAGAGGAAAGTTCATAGCCCTAAACGCCCACATCAAAAAGTCTGAAAGAGCACAGACAATCTAAGGTCACAACTCAAGGAACTAGAGAAACAAGAACAAACGAAACACAGACCCAGCAGAAGAAAGGAAATAACCAAGATTAGAGCAGAATTAAATGAAATTGAAACAACAACAAAAAAATACAAATGATAAATGAAACAAAAATCTGCTTCTTTGAAAAGATAAATAAAATTGATAGACCATTAGCAAGATTAATGATGAAAAGAAGAGAGAAAATCCAAATAACTTCACTAAGAAACAAAACAGGAGATATTACAACTGACACCACTGAAATACAAAAGATCATTCAAGGCTACTATGAACACCTATACACACATACAATAGAAAACCTAGAAGAGATGAATAAGTTCCTGGAAAAATACAATCTTCCTAGCTTGTAAATAAATCAGGAAGAATTAGATAACCTGAACAGACCAATAACAAACAGCAAGACTGAAATAGTAATTAAAAAATTACTGGCCAGGCGCAGTGGTTCATACCTGTAATCCCAGCACTTTGGGAGGCTGAGACGGGTGGATCACCTGAGTTCAGGAGTTCGAGAACAGCCTGGCTAACATGGTGAAATCCCGTTTCTACTGAAAATACAAAAAAATCAGCCAGACATGGTGGTATGCATCTGTAATCCCAGCTACTCGGGAGGTTGAGGCAGGAGAATCGCTTGAACCTGGGAGGCAGAGGTGTGGTGAGCTGAGATCACGCCATTGTACTCCAGCTTGGACAACAAGAGCGAAACTCCATCTAAAAAAAAAAAAAAAAAAAAAAAAAAAAAAATTTCCAAAAAAAAGTCCAAGACCAGACGGATTCACAGCAGAATTCTACCAGACATTCAAAGAAGAATTGATACCAATCGTTTTGACACTATTCTGTAAGATAGAGAAAGAAGGAACCCTCCCTAACTCATTCTATGAAGCCAGCATCACCTTAATACCAAAACCAGGAAAGGACACAACAACAACAACAACAACAACAACAACAACAACAAACAATACAGACCGATATCCTTGATGGACATAGATACTAAAATCCATAACAAAATACTAGCTAACTGAAGGCCAGGCGCAGTGGCTCATGCCTGTAATCTCAGCACTTTGGGAGGCCGAGGCGGATGGATCACGAGGTCAGGAGTTCGAGACCAGCCTGGCCAACATGGTGAAACCCCATTTCTACTAAAAAACCAAAAATAAGCCGGGCGCAGTGGCAGGCGCCTGTAGTCTCAGCTATTTGGGAGGCTGAGGCAGGAAACTTGCTTGAAGCCGGGCAGCGGAGGTTGCAGTAAACCGAGATTGTGCCACTGCACTCCAGCCTGGGTGACAGATCAAGACTCCATCTCGGAAAAAACAAAACAAAACAAAAAAGCACAAAGTACTAGCTAATAGAATCCAACAACATATCAAAAAGATAATCCACCATGATCAAGTGGGTTTCATACCAGGGATGCAGGGATGGTTTAACATATGCAGGTCAATAAACGTGATACACCACATAAGCAGAATTAAAGGTAAAAGCAGGGCGCAGTGGCTCACGCCTGTAATCCCAGCACTTTGGGAGGGTGATGCGGGTGGATCACCTGAGGTCAGGAGTTCAAGACCAGCCTGACCAAAATGGTGAAACCCCATCTTTACCAAATACAAAAAATTAGCTGGGAGTGGTGGCACGTGCCTGTAATCCCAGCTACTGGGGAAGCTGAGGCAGGAGAATCACTTGAACCTGGGAGGCAGAGGTTGCAGTGAGCCAAGATTGTGCCATTGCACTCCAGCCTGGGCAATAAGAGCGAAACTCCGTCTCAAAAAAAAAAAAGAATTAAAAACAAAAATCACATGATAATCTTAATAGATGCAGAATAAACATTCAACAAAATCCAGCATCGCTTTACGATTAAAACTCTCAACAAAATCGGCACACAAGGGAAATACCTTAATGTAATAAAAGCCATCTACGACAAACCCACAGCCAACATAATACTGAATGGGGAAAAGTTGAAAGCATTCTGAGAACTGGAATGAGACAAGGATGCCCACTCTCACTACTCCTCTTCAACACAGTACTGGAAGTCCTAGCCAGAGCAATCAGGCAAGAGAAATAAAGGGCATCCAAATCAGTAAAGAGAAAGTCAAACTGTCACTGTTTGCTGACAATATGATCGTTTACCTTGAAAACCCTAAGGACTCCTCCAGAAAGCTCCTAGAACTGATCAAAGAATTTAGCAAAGTTTCCAGAAACAAGATTAATGTATACAAATCAGTAGCTCTTCTATACACTAACAGGGACCAGGTGGAGAATTAAATCAAGAACTCAATCCCTTTTACAATAACTGCAAAAATAAATAAATAAATAAAATATTTAGGAATATACCTAACCAAGGAGTCGAAAGACCTCTACAAGGAAAACTACAAAACACTGCTGAAAGAAATCATAGATGACACAAAGAAATGGAAACACATCCCATGCTCATGGATGGGTAGAATCAATATTGTGGAAATGATCATACTGCCAAAAGCAATCTACAAATTCAACGCAATCCCCACCAAAATACCACCATCCTTTTTCACAGAATTAGAAAAAACAATTCTAAAATTCATATGTAACCAAAAAAGAGCCCGCATAGCCAAAGCAAGACTAAGCAAAAAGAACAAATCTGGAGACATCACACAACCTAATTTCAAACTATAAGGCCACAGTCACCAAAACAGCATAATACTGGTATAAAAATAGGCATATAGACCAATGGAACAGAATAGACAACCCAGAAATAAACCCAAATACTTACAGCCAACTGATCTTCGACAAAGCAAACAAAAACATAAAGTGGGGAAAGGACAACCTTTTCAACAAATGGTGCTGAGATAATTGGCTAGCCACGTGTAGGAGAATAAAACTGGATCATCATCTCTCATTTTATACAAAAATCAACTCAAGATGGATTAAAGACTTAAACCTAAGACGTGAAACTATAAAAATTCTAGAAGATAACATTGGGAAAACCCTTCTAGACATTGGCTTAAAAAAAAGAAAAATAATAAAAAGAAAAAGAAAAAAAAGAGGAAAAAATAAAATAAATAAATAGACATTGGCCTAGGCAAGGATTTCATGACCAAGAACCCAAAAGCAAATGCAATAAAAACAAAGATCAATAGCTGGGACCTAATTAAAGAGCTTTTGCACGGCAAAAGGAACAGTCAGCAGAGTAAACAGACAACCCACAGAGTGGGAGAAAATCCTCACAATCTATACATCTGACAAAGCACTAATAACCAGAATCTACAACGAACTCAAACAAATCAGTAAGAAAAAAACAATCCTATCAAAAAGTGGGCTAATGACACGAATAGACAATTTTCAAAAGAAGATACACAAATGGCCAACAAACATATGAAAAAACGCTCAACATCACTAATAATCAGAGAAATGCAAATCAAAACCACAATGTGATACCACCTTACTCCTACAAGAATGGCCATAATAAAAAAATCAAAAAACAGTAGATGTTGGCATGGATGCGGTGAACAGGGAACACTTCTACACTGCTGGTGGGAATGAAAACTAGTACAGCCACTATGGGAAACAGTGTAGAGATTCCTTAAAGAACTAAAAGTAGAACCACCAGTTGATCCAGCAGTCCCACTACTGGGTATCTACCCAGAGGAAAATAAATCATTATTCGAAAAAGATACTTAGACATGCATGTTTATAGCAGCACAATTCACAGTTGCAAAATCATGGAACCAACCCAAATGCCCATCAATCAACAAGTGGATAAAGAAACTGTGGGGTGTGTGTGTGTGTGTGTGTGTGTGTATATGATAGATCTATCATATCACATATATATGATAGATCTATCATATCACATATATATGATAGATCTATCATATCACATATATATGATAGATCTATCATATCACATATATGATAGATCTATCATATCACATATATGATAGACCTATAATATCACATATATGATAGATCTATCATATCATATATATACACATATATATCACATATATACACACACATATATATCACACATATATATATCATATATATATATATATATATATATATACACACACACCATATATATAACAAATGCTGTTAACTCATTCCTTTTTATGGCTCCATAGTATTCCATTATATATATATACACACACCATGGATGACCTGGATGAGATTGGAGACTATTATTCTAAGTGAAGTTACTCAGGAATGGAAAACCAAACATCGAATGTTCTCACTGATATGTGGGAGCTAAGCTATGAGGACGCAAGGGCATAAGAATGATACAATGGACTTTGGGGACTTGAAGGGAAGAGTGGGAGTGGGGTGAGGGATAAAAGACAACAAATAGGGTGCAGTGTATACTGCTTGGGTGATGGGTACACCAAAATCTCACAAATCACCACTAAACAACTTACTCATGTAACCAAATACCATCTGTACCCCAATAACTTATGGAAAAATAAAACAATAAAATAAAATAAAATAAATTAGCCAGGTGTGGTGGTATGTGCCCGTAGTCCCAGACATTTGACAGGCTAAGGTGGGAGGATTGTTTGAGCCTGGGAGGTTGAAGCTACAGTAAGCCATGGTTGTGCCACTACAGTCCAGCTTGGGTGACAGAGCAAGACCCTATCTCAAAAAACAAAAAGCATCAGACGTCATTTTGGGGAAGTATGCTATATCACAATAAGACTTCTATACTTAACTCCTTACTATATAACAGTACTATATATTTCTCACCCAAATTTTCTTGCCTGAAACTGTGGCTTCCACTCATGATAATTCCTGGCTTCCAATCCCAGCGTCACACTTAAACCTGGACAAGAGGGGTTTGTGACATGGGCTCCGCTTGGCCACTAAGCAAGATGTCTATGTGCTCTCCCACAGCCACCTCCCCAGGAAATGCTCTGAGTATCTGGTAGCCTGGAATTCTCTGCCCAAATAACTTTGTTTCCAGGGCTTATGCATTCCTCTTCCCTGGCTCTATCACCCTGAAGACAGACCACACTGCTAGTGCAAGCAACCCCAGGGCCAGAGGGTAGCTGCTCATATGGAGCTGGGGAAAGAGCCCTGAGGCATAAGTAGGTCATGGCATAGGGTAGAAAAGTGTGGCGGGCTGTGTACTGGCTCCTTCCTGAGCCACCATGTTTTGGTGTCAGTGAATCCTGAGGAGTTCAGGATTCTAAATTGGAACCTGGCTTTCCAGGTTGTTATGAAGGACACATTTCAAGATAAGAGAATCAAACATAATTTATTTAACTGCTTGCTGGCTTAAGGTGTAACTTTTACACATTTAGAATATCATATGTGAAACTTCATTTGTACTCTTGCCTCAACCCTTACATCCCTTTACATGCATAACTATCTAGAAATACTTCCAGCCTCCTGGACTGAATATTACTACAGCAGGACAGGAAATCAAACAAAGTCTAAACAAAAAAAAAACAGGTCTAAGAAAACTTGTTATATCAATTGTCATATCTTACAGTTTATTTTAATTCTCAAAAACAAAAGAAACTGAACTATTTCATTAGATTATTCCCTCTTACGAAGACTTCAGCACCCAGCATCCTCCAATGACACCATTTTTTTTTTTGAGACAGAGTCTCACTCTGTCACCCAGGCTGGAGTGCAATGGCACGATCTCGGCTCACTGCAACCTCTACCTCCTGGGTTCAAGTGACTCTCCTGCCTTAGCCTCCCAAGTAGCTAGGACTACAGGCACGCACCACCACACCCAGCTAATTTTGTGTATTTTAGTAGAGACGGGGTTTCGCCATGTTGGCCAGGATGGTCTCGATCTCCTGACCTCGTGATCCTCCTGCCTCAGCCTCCCAAAGTGCTAGGATTGTAGGCGTGAGCCACCACGCCCGGCCCAATGACACCATTTGTTCAAATGAGTTTGTTTCCACTTCTAGACTGAATGCAGGGGAATCCATCAATGTGTCCTGTCTCTGTTATCATGCTGAGTACAGAGATTCAGTGTCTGTTTTAGTTACCTGCGACTTCAAGGGAAGGCTCCAGACTCTAGTGGCTTGGTGGAACTATGGATGGAAGAACCAGACCCAGAACCCAGCCTCTAACTGTACTGTACTTTGTCCACATTGGCCATTATTACTAAGCCTGGCTCCTGAACAAACTTTGCTCAGGGAGTAAGAGAACTGCTCAGAGACAGAACGTACATCTATGTTCTCCACTGCCTAACAGCACTATCTTAGGGAGGCAGATCAAAGAAGCACAGATGCTATTGATAAAATGATATCTAATCCGGTGTCTGGGAAATTCCTTTGGCAAAATTCTCAATAGAATGTCATCTAGTTTTGTTTTGTTTTGTTTTTTTTTTTTGAGACGGAGTCATGCTCTCCCACTCAGGCTGGAGTGCAGTGGCGCGATCTTGGCTCACTGTAACCTTTGCCTCCCAGGTTCAAGTGATTGTCCTGCCTCAGCCTCCCGAGTGGCTGGGACTACAGGCGTGTGCCACAACGCCCAGCTAATTTTTGTATTTTTAGTACAGACGGTGTTTCACCACATTGGCCAGGCTGGTCTCGAACTCCTAACCTCAAGTGATCCACCCGTCTCGGCCTCCCAAAGTGCTGGAATTACAGGCTTGAGCCACTGGGCCAGCTTCATCTAGTTTTCACTCAAATCATTCTTGTCCTGTGCCCCTGGAACCTCATCAAGTAGCTCAGCTGGACAGTTTTGGTTATGAGAAAGTGTGTTCTTTTTCTAATTAAGTCCAAATCGGCCTGCTTGTAGTTTCTGTCCATTGATTCTAGTTCTGGTCTCTGGAGCACAACAGAACAAGTCCATAGCCCATTTTCCTATGAGTGGGTCTGTTTGGTCTCTTCTGTCTCCCTCCGCAGTTCCTTGAAACCGTCCACGTGAGAAAATCAAGTAGCTACATGTGATGAGTATTTTGCTGTCTTTCTGTGCCACTGTCCATTGTTTATCCTTCTATCACTACCAAACTGCCTTAATTACTGTAGCTTGTTTATAATCAGTGTTGATATTTGGGATAGAAAGTCTTATAGCCTTGTTCTTCTTCAGGAATGTCTTGGCTTTTCTTTGGCCTTTACATTTCCCTATAGAGTTTAGAATTTGTCAAGTTCTAGATAACACACACACACACACACAAAAGTGAACTGCTAGGATTTTGATTTGAATTTCATCAACTCTAAGATCAGTGTAAGAACAAATGTTATCTTTGCAACACTGAATGTTCCACTCCCTGAGTATGGTATCTCCCAATACCCATAAGCTTTAACTTCTCTCAAAATTTTATAATTTTCTCTGAGGATATCTTGCCTATTTTTTGTTACTTCATTCTTAACTACTTGATATATTTTAAATATACTTGATATTTACATATCTTTTCCTTAACTTCATTATCTCACTGTATAAAGACAATTATTTTTTAATTTCTAGGCAGTATAACTTGTTTTTATTAAAATATATTTCCAATCTGATAGTTGATGTACTACATTTGTGTTGTAGAAAAGTTTTGCCCAACATTAGTGATCATATGCAGTAATAAAATCTTTAATATCCTGGCAAGTATGGGGTGGACAACCCCCTAATTGGGACTCTCACATTTCAGGTATCCTTTTGTTCCCTTTGCTGAGCTGAAATAATGGTTTTGTCTTAATCCTAATGAATTTGACAGCATCAATTTTCACATTAATTTACTGTCTGATCTTCTTTGAAGTAGAGCTCCATTGAGCAGAGAAAGTACCAGCAAGAGAGCTTTCATGATGCCACAGCAGTGAAAGACCCCACAAAGCAGAACCATCAGCATGGTGGATTACACAGGAGCAAGGGAGGATCATGAGCCTTCCTAGTGACACACATGCAGCAGCAATCTGGACCTCAGGGATGCCAAACCACTATTTATTTTTATATATTAATTGTGTGTCTGGAAAACTCTAAAGATAATTTTAGTAATTTATCTGAAAATTCTTTTGGATTTTTTACATACATATCCACATAATCTGGGAATAGTAACAGTTTTTCCTTCCTTTACTTCTTTTTTCCCATAAGAAAATGAAGGAAAAACTGTTTCTCTTCTTTTTCTTGCTTTACCACACTGGCCAGGGCCTTCAGTGGGCATCACTGTTTTGTTCCCAGAAAGGGAAAACTGTCAGTATTTCACCATTTAAAAAAATAACAGCTATCTCGAGATATAATTTACGTACCATAAAACGCATACTTTAAAATATACAATTCCATGGTTTTTAGTATATTCCTAGTTAGGGCCATCACTACTATTTTTAGAACATTTTAGTCACTCCATAAAGAAACCCTGTACCCATTAACAGTCATTCCCTATCTTCTTACCCCCTTCATTTCAGGCAACCACTAATGTACTTTCTCAATGGATTCGTCTATTTTGGACATTTCATACGAATGAAATCATTCAATATGTGGTCTTTTGTGACTGGCTTCTTTTACTGCACGTAATGTTTTTGAGGTTCATCCATGTGGTGACACTTTCAGCATGTGTCAGTATGACATTCCTTTTTATTACCAAATAATATTCCCTTGTATGGCTATGCAGCATTTTGTACATTCATTCAACAGTTGACAAACATTTAGGCTGTTTCTAAATTTTAGCTGTTATGAATAGTGTAGCAATGAACAATTGTCCTCAAGTTTTCATGTGGACATATGTGTTTTCAGTTCTCTTGGGGATACAGCTAGTAGTTGAAGCATGTTGTTTTCTTGTAGATAATCTGTCAGACTAAAGATGTTCCCTTATATTCCTACTATGGTAAACATTTGCTTTCTTTATTCTTTTTAAAACACTAATGGCTGTTGAATTTTATCAAAAATTTTTTTTGCATCTATTAAGATGATCACAAAGTGTTTGGACTGTTACACTTACGCCGCTAGTTCTTGAATAAACCCAGTATAATCATAATATATTATTTATATATTGTTGGATTTGGTCTGCTAATATATACGTATTTTAAAATCTATGTTCATTAGTGAGACTGACCTGCAAAATTTTCCTTCTGACGTCCCTGTCAGTTTGTAATATAGTTATGCTGGTCTTAAAAAACTGGTAGAACTCGTGAAGAATATAGAGACCTGTGGTATCTCTTGTGGGAAGATTTGAAATTATGAACTCAATATCCTCAATAGTTATAGACAATTTAGATTTTCTGATTCTTCTTGTGACAATTTTATTGTTTTTTTAAAGAAATTATTCATGTAATCTAAATATATCAATTTACTAGCATAAAATTGTTCATAGTATTGTGTGCAGAACTGCTGGGTTCTTGGTCTCACTGACTTCAAGAATGAAGCCGCGGACCCTCACGGTGAGTGTTACAGTTCTTAAAGGCAGCGTGTCCAGAGTTTGTTCCTTCTGGTGTTCCAGTGTGTTCGGAGTTTTTTCCTTCTGGTGGGTTCGTGGTCTCGCTGGCTCAGGAGTGAAGCTGCAGACCTTGGCGTTGACTATTACAGCTCTTAAGGCGGTGCGTCTGGAGTTGTTCTTTTCTCCCAGTGGGTTCGTGGACTCGCTGGCTTCAGGAGCGAAGCTGCAGATCTTCCCCCATGAGTGTTACAGCTCATAAAGTCAGCGTGGACCCAAAGAGTGAGCAGCAGCAAGATTTATTGCAAAGAGCAAAAGAACAAAGCTTCCACACAGTGGAAGGGGACCTCTGGTGGGTTGTCAGGGCTAGCTTGGGCAGCCTGCTTTTATTGCCTTATCTGGCCCCACCCACATCCTGCTGATTGGTCCATTTTACAGAGAGCTGATTGGTCTGTTTTACAGAGAGCTGATTGGTCCGTTTTGACAGGGTACTGACTGGTGCGTTTACAATCGCTGAGCTAGACACAGAAGTTCTCCAAGTCCCCACTAGATTAGCTAGACACAGAGCACTGATTGGTGCATTCACAAACCCTGAGCTAGACACAGGGTGCTGATTGGTGCATTTGCAAACCCTGAGCTAGACACAGAGTGCTGATTGGTGCATTCACAATCCCTGAGCTAGACACAAGGTGCTGACTGGTGCATTTACAAACCCTGAGCTAGACAGAGTGCTGATTGGTGCATTCACAATCCCTTAGCTAGACATAAAGGTTCTCCAAGTCCCCACCAGATCAGCTAGACACAGAACACTGATTGGTGCATTTACCAAACCTTGAGCTAGACACAGTGTGCTGATTGGTGCATTTACAAACCTTGAGCTAGACACGGAGTGCTGACTGGTATATCTACAATCCCTTAGCTAGACATAAAGGTTCTCCAAATCCCCACTAGACTCAAGAGCCCAGCTGGATGAGCCCAGCTGGATTCACCCAGTGGATCCCGCACCAGGCTGCAGGTGGAGCTGGCTGCCAGTCCCGCGCCCTGTGCCCGCACTCCTCAGCCCTTGGGCGGTCAGTGGGACTGGACGCGGTGGAGCAGGGGGCAGAGCTCGTCGGGGAGGCTCGGGCCTTGAAGGGGCCCGGCGGGGCGGGAGGCTCAGTCTTGGCGGGCTGCAGGTCCGGAGCCCTGCCCCGCGGGGAGGCAGCTAAGGCCCGACGAGAAATCAAGCACAGCGCCGGTGGGCCGGCACTGCTGGGGTACCCGACGCACCCTCCGCAGCTGCTGGCCGGGGTGCTAAGTCCCTCACTGCCCGCTCCCAGTACGGGGCCCGCCAAGCCCACGCCCACCCAGAACTCTAGCTGGCCTGCAAGTGCCACACGCAGCCCTGGTTCCCGCCCGTACCTCTCTCTCCACACCTCCCCTAAACCTGAGCGGCTCCGGCCTCGGCCATCCCAGGTCCGAGCCGGCTCCGGCCTCGGCCATCCCAGGAAGGAGCTCCCACAGCACAGCGTGGGCTGAAGGACTCCTCAAGCACGGCCAGAGTGGGCGCTGAGGCTGAGGAGGTGCCAAGAGCGAGCGAGGGCTGCGAGGGCTGCCAGCAGGCTGTCACCTCTTAAGATTTTCTTACTGTCTTTTAAATGCTTTAAGAATTTGTAAGATGGGCGTGGTTGCTCACACCGGTAATCCCAGCACTCTGGAGCGGGCTGAGGCGGGTGGATCACCTGAGGTCAGGAGTTTTGAGACCAGCCTGACCAACATGGTGAAACCACGTCTCCACTAAAAATACAAAAAAAAATTTAGCTGGGTGTGGTGGCATGCGCCTGTACTCCCAGCTACTGGGGAGGCTGAGGCAGGAGAATTGCTTGAACCCGAGAGGCGGAGGTTGCAGTGAGCTGAGATCGCGCCACTGCACATCAGCCTGAGCAACAACAGCGAAACTCCAACTCAAAAAAAAAAAAAAAAAAAATTTATAGTGATAACAATTTCTCTGGTCCTCACATTGGTGAGCCACGCTTTCTCCCTTTTTTCATGCATCAGTCTTGCCACAGCTTTTACTAGTTTTGTTTTTTAAAGAACAACTTTGGAATGTAGAATATTTGACAAAATTCAACACCCTCTCATGATAAAAAAAAAAACCCCTCAACAAATTAACTATAGAAAGAATGTACCTCAACATAAATAAAGACCATTTATTTATTTTTTTGAGACGGAGTCTTGCTCTGTTGCCCAGGCTGGAGTGCAGTGGTGCAATCGTGGCTCGCTGCAACCTCTGCCTCCAAGATTCAAGCGATTCTCGTGCCTCAGCCTCCCAAACAGCTGGGTTTACAGGCATGTGCCAGCACACCCGGCTAATTTTTGTATTTTTAGTAGAGACGGGATTTTGTCAAGTTAGCCAGGCTGGCCTTGAACTCTTGACCTCAAGTGATCCACGTGCCTCAGCCTCCCAAAGTGCTGGGATTATAGGCGTGAGCCACCACGCCCAGCCCAATAAAGATCATTTATGACAAGTGCACAGTTAATATGTCATGCTTAACGATGAAAAGCTGAAAGCATTTCTTCTAAGATCAGGAATAAGACAACAGTGCTGACTCACGCAACTTCTATTCAACATAAAACTGGTAGTCCTAGCCAGAGCAATTAGATAAGAGAAAGAAATAAAAAATATCTAAAATGGAAAGGATAAAGGTACATTTTCTCTGTTTGCAGATGACATCTTATATAGAGAAAATTCTAAAGACTGCACCAAAAAACTGCTAGAATTGATAAATGAATTCAATAAAGTTTGCAAGATACAAAATCAACATACAAAAATCAGTAGCTTTTCTGTATACTAACTAAACTACATGAAAAAGAAATCAAGAAAATTTACAATAGATACGTAATAACAAAATACTTAAGAATAAACATAACCAAGGAGGAGAAAGATCTCTACACTGAAACCTATAAATCGCTGATGAAAGAAACTTAAGACATAAGTAAATGAAAAGATATCTCTTGTTCATGGATTAGAAGCATTAATATTGTTAGAATGACTATACTACCCAAAGTGTTCTACAGATTTTATGTAATTCCTATCGAAATTTCAACTTTTTTTTTCAATGTCATTCTTAACAGAAACAGAAAAACGATCATAAAATTCGTAAGGAATCACAAAAGACCCTGAATAGCTAATGCAATCTTTTTTTTTTTTTTTTTTTTTTTTTTTTTGAGACAGGGTTTCACTCTGTCACCCAGGCTGGAGAGCAGTGGTGAGATTTCTGCTCACTGCAACCTCCACCTCCCAGGTTCAAGTGATCTTCTGCCTCAGCCTCCTGAGTAGCTGAGACTACAGGTACGTACCACCATGCCCAGCCAATTTTTGTATTTTTTGATAGAGATGGGGTTTCACCATGTTGGCCAGGCTGGTCTTGAACTCCTGACCTCAAGTTATCCACCTGCCTTGGCCTCCCAAAGTGCTTGGATTACAGGTGTGAGCCACGAGGCTGGCACCAATGCCATCTTGATCAAAGAAAACAAAGTTGGAGGCATTATACCACCTGACATCAAAATATACTACAAAGCTGTAGTAATCCAAACAGCATAGTACTGGCATAAAAACTGACAGAGACCAATGGAACAGAATAGAGAGCCAAGAAATAAATCCATGCATTTACAGTGAATTGGTTTTTGACAAAAGTGCCAAGAGACACAATGGGGAAAGAAGAGTTTCTTCAATAAATAAATGGTGCTGAGAAAACTGGATATCCACATGTAAAAGAATGAAGTTAGATCCTTATCTGACACCATAAACAGAAATCAACTCAAAATAGATTAATGAATTAAATGTAAGATCTATAAATGATGAAACTACTAGAAGAAAACATAGGGGGCCGGGCGCAGTGGCTCACACCTGTAATCCCAGCGCTTTGGGAGGCCGAGGCCGGTGGATCACGAGGTCAGATCAAGACAATCCTGGCCAGCATGCTGAAACCTTGTCTCTACTAAAATACACAAAATTAGCTGGGTGTGGTGGTGCATGCCTGTAGTCCCAGCTACTGGGGAGGCTGAGGCAGGGGAATTACTTGAACCCGGGAGGCAGAGATTGCAGTGAGCCATGATCGTGCCACTGCACTATAGCCTGGAGCTATAGCTATATGAGACAGAGCGAGACTCCATCTCAAAAAAAAAAAAGAAAGAAAAGAAAACATAGGGGAAATGCTCCATGATATTGGTGTAGGCAATTATTTTTTGAATATAATTCCAAAAGCACAGGCAACAAAAGCAAAAATAGACAAATGAGATTACATCAAATTAAGAAATATCTACACAGTAAACGAAACAACAGAGTTAAGGGACAACATACAAAATGGGAGAAAATATTTGCAAACTATATATCTGATAAGGAGATAATATCCAAAATATATAAGGAACTTGATAGCAAGAAAACAAATAACCCAATCAAGAAAATAGGCAAAGGACTTGAGAATACATCTCCCTTTAAGAAAGGAGCCATTATAGAATACTGTATGGAGGTTCCTCAAAAATTTAAAAAGTAGAACTACCGGATGATCTAACAATCCCACTAATCTCAAAGGAAATAAAATCACAGGCTGGGTGCAGTGGCTCACGCCTATAATCCCAGCACTTTGGGAGGCTGAGGTGTGTGGATCACAAGGTCAGGAGTTTGAGACCAGCCTGGCCAAGATAATGAAACCCCATCTCTATTAAAAATACAAAAATTAGCTGGGTGCGGCGGCGGATGCTTGTAATCCCAGCTACTCATGAAGCTGAGGCAGGAGAATCACTTGAACCTGGGAGGCGGAGGTTGCAGTGAGCCGAGATTGCACCACTGCACTCTAGCCTGGGTGACAGAGCAAGACTCCGTCTCAAAAAAAACAAAAAAGGAAATAAAATCAGTATGTTGCAGGGACAACTGAACTCCCATGTTTACTGCAGCATTATTCACCAGAGCCAGGATATGGAATCAACCTAAGTGTCCATCAGCGAATGAATAAAGAAAATGTATATATGAAAGGAAGCAAATTCTGTTATTTATGACAACATGGATGAACCCGGAGGACATTATGCTAAGTGAAATAAGCCAGGCACAGAAAGACAGATACTGCATGATCTCACTTATATATGGAATCTTAAAAAAAAATCTAACTCAAATTAGCCAGGCACAGTGGCAGGCACCTGCAATCCCAGCTACTCGGGAGGCTGAGGCAGGGGAATCGCTTGAACCAGGAGGGTGGGGGTGTGGGGGTGTGGGCGGGGTGGGGAGGGGGAAGGGGGGTGGCAGTGGAGGTTGCAGTAGAATAGTGGTTACCAGAGGCTAGTGATGGGGAAATGGGGAGATATTAGTCAAAGGGTACAATGTTTTAGTTAGACAGGAGGAATAAATAGTATTTGAGATGATAATTTTTATTTTATTTTATTTTGAGATGGAGTCTCGCTCTGTCACCCAGGCTGGCGTGCAGTGGCGCAATCTTGGCTCACTGCAATCTCCGCCTCCTGGGTTCAAGTGATTGTCCTGCCTCAGCCTTCCGAGTAGCTGGGACTATAGGCACCCGCCACCGCACCTGGCTAATTTTGTTTTTTTAGTAGAGATGGGGTTTCACCATGTTGGCCAGGCTGGTCTTGAACTCCTGACCTTGTGATCTGCCCACCTCGGCCTCCCAAAGTGCTGGGATTACAGGCATGAGCCACTGCCCCCAGCCAATACATTTTTTAAAAAAGAAAAAATCCCCAACTTTTGGCTTTCTAAATCTTTTCTCCTTCATATTTGTTTTTTACTTTATCGATATTTTTGCTCTTTAATATTTTTAGCAAACACTCGCAAGGCAAAAGGCTGCTCACAGTTATCTCCTGATCTAGGTCCAGTGATTCCTTATTATATTCTCACTTCATTGATGATTTTTTTTTTTTTGAGACAGAGTCGTGCTCTGTTGCCCAGGCTAGAGTGCAGTGGTGTGATCTCGGCTCCCCACAACCTCTGCCTCCCAGGTTCAAGTGATTCTCCTGCCTCAGCCTCCCGAGTAGCTGCGACTACAGGCGCGTGCCACCATGCTCGGCTAATTTTTGTATTTTTAGTAGAGACGGGGTTTCACTATGTTGGCCAGGCTGGTCTTGAACTCCTAACCTTGTGATCCACCCACCTTGGCCTCCCAGAGTGCTGGGATTACAGGCATGAGCCACTGCCCCCAGCCTTCATTGATTATTTTAAGATGTTTTTATATGTGATCTCATTTTTTTTTTTTTTTTGAGACAGTCTCGCTCTGTCGTCCAGGCTGGAGTGCAGTGGCATGATCTCGACTCACTGCGACCTTTGCCGCCTGGGTTCAAGGGATTCTCCTGCCTCAGCCTCCCAAGTAGCTGGGACTACTGGCGCATGCCACCTTGCCTGGCTAAGTTTTTGTATTTTTAGTAGAGACAGGGTTTCATCATGTTAGCCAGGATGGTCTCAATCTCCTGACCTCATGATCCACCAGCTTCGGCCTCCCGAAGTGCAGGGATTACAGGCATGAGGCACCGCGCCCGGCTGATCTCATTTCTTTCTTACTTCAATGGGAAGGTTGGTATCAAACTATCAGTATTGGATATAGAAAACTGAAATTTTAACTGTGCACTTTAAAAATTTATGCCACTTATATGTATTACCCATTCAAAAATGTGAAAACTGTTTAAAAAATAAAGTGGCAGGGAAATGGGCATTTTATATATTTCTGGTGAAAGTATACATTATTTACTATAACCTTTTTGGAAAGCAACCTGGAAATGCGTACACAAACTCAAAAAGCCCATTCTATTTGAGGGGGGAAAGGGGAAACAACCCAAATGTCCATCAATAGGGGAATGGTTGAATGAGTTGTGGGATACTTATATATCATTACTCCACTTAAATGTAATATTCCATTGGGAAAGTAAGTTCAGCTAAAGTAAATGAAGCAACTGTAACACTTTAGTATAGCTTAAAAGGCATTTGAACTATGGGCCAAGAGGTCAGTCCTAGAACAAAGTCCATACTACTCCTCCCCTCACTTAGCATCCTCTCCATCTTCCTCCTACCAATCTAGCCACTAACCCTGCTTATCTTCCAGAAATTTAGGTTAAACAAGACCAAGAGCCTTCAAAGCCCTTAGTAAGTAGGCTATACTTAATTTCTGCAAACCCAAGGACTGCAAAACTCTACTCTGCATCAACTGAACGCAAATCAATCACTTTAATTAAGCTGAGCCCTTACTAGATAAATGGGACTCAAACCCATAAAAATGTAGTTAACAGCTAAATACCCTAATCAACTGGCTTCAATCTACTTCTTCCACAGGCAGTGGGTTGGGGTGGGGGGTGGGGGAGCGGGGGAAGGCGGGAGAAACCTGGCAGGATTGAAGCTGCTTCTTTGAATTTGCAATTCAACATGAAAGTCACCTCCGGGCTGGTAAAAAGAGGTTTAGCCTCTGTCCTTAGATTTACAGTCTAATGCTTTACTCAGCCATTTTACCTCGCCCTACTCCACTTACGTTGGCCAACCGTTGACTATTCTCAACTAACCATAAAGATACCGGAACATTGTACCTAATATTCAGTGCGTGGGCAGGGGTTGTAGGCACAGCTTTAAGCCTCCTTATTCGGGCTGAACAAGGTAAAACTAATTTCTGAGTATGGCCCTACTTAAAATTTCCAAAATTTACCTTTATTTGGGTATTAATATCTACAAAGCTGTCATATGGTAGACAATTGCATCCTTAAAAAAAACCCCAATTTATTGGTACTCTAGACAATCAGGAAAAATACTGAAAAGGTGATTTTACTTAAATATCACCTGAAAGAAATGTCCTAGAGTCTAAATCTTCATAGGCAGATGGCCCTGTGGCACGGGTAATGCTCACTCTGCTCATGTTGTTTGGTGACCAATACCACATTCCTGCAGAGTGTTGTCAGAACCAAGTTTTGGGACATAATCATGTCTGCAATAATAAAGGGGGTAGGAGAAACCATAATACCAGCATTTTCCATGTGCTAGTGTGGTTAAAATAGTTTCTGCAAAAGGACTCATGTAACAGTCCATTAAACCACAAAATTTTAGAGCAGGAACCTCAGAAATTATAAAATTTGGTTTTCTGCAACCTTCTCAATCTCATCGTGGTAATTACTGGTATTCCTCAGTGCTGTTACTTTAAGAGTTACTTCTTTTTTGATTGTTTGTATTCTTTTTAAGTTATTCTTATCTGATTATACAAAGCTCAAAACATGATAAAAATATAAAAGAACATAGTAAAAGTCTCGCTGTAATTACTGTTAATATTTTGTTGTTTATTCCTTCCAATTTGTTCTCTAGTAAAATGCTAAATTACATACATCAAAAGAAGGTAAGATCATAATACATGTACAGTTTTGAAAATCTCTTTATTCCTGGTATAGCATGGACAACTATGCATGGTGGTATTAATGGAGTTACTTCTGTTTCTCCAAATAGCTTTATGGTAAGCCCACTTTGTTCTCTATCTATACACAACTGGGTTAACTTTTTTTCTAATCCATGGTTACAGTACTTCAGAGTACTTCCTTGAAGGCACACTTTTGTACAGAAAGAGGTGTTTCTACAATGGGTTCCTAGAGGTGAAATGGTAGGACAGACAGCATAGCTACTGTTCAGCTGTCCTCAAGGAAGAGGAGAGTTTCTGTTTTCCCTACACACTGGCCAACACAGCATATCATCAACATTTTTTTCCCCCAAAAAACAATGTATGTATTTCAAATCAGGCCATGATTTTTGATTAGCAGTGGTCTTCAAGCTTGATTGAGCATTGGCATTATTTGGGTAATTTTTCTACCCCCAAAGTTTTGTCAGCAACATCTCACTATGGTAGTGAAAAAATAACCTTCCTGTTTTAATTTACTTTTCTTGACTGTTACTGAGATTGAGAAATCTTCCTCTTCTGTTTTATTGACCACTGACATTTCCTCTTCTATGAACTGCCTGTTTAATGGTGTTTGCTCATTTGTACTCATCTTTTTCTTTTCTTTTCTTTTCTTTTTTGAGATGTAGTCTCGCTCTGTTGCCCAGGCTGGAGTGCAATGGCACAATCTTGGCTCACTGCAACCTCCGCCTCCTAGGTTCAAGTGATTCTCCTACCTCAGCCTCCTGAGTAGCTGGGACTACAGGCATGTGCTACCATACTCGGCTAATTTTTGTACTGTTAGTAGAGACGGGGTTTCACATGTTGGCCAGGCTGGTCTCAAACTCCTAACCTCAGGTGATCCACCTGTCTCTGCCTCCCAAAGTGCTGGGATTACAGGTGTGAGCCACTGCACTCAGCTAGTTTTACATTTTTAAAAATAGATATCATTTTCCTTATTTTTAGGAAGTTGAGTGGCTTATGTATTTAGTCCCTTATCTTGATTCAGTCTATCTAGGTCATTTTACAAAATCCTGATTCAGTCTAACCACGTCATTTAAACAAATATTTAGCTCCTCTTTGCCAAATGATTTGGACCCCTGAAATAACGATATAAGAATTTCAGGCCAGGTGCGGTGGCTCATGCCTGTAATCCCAGCACTTTGGAAGGCCGAGGTGGGTGGATCACATGAGGTCAAGAGTTCGAGACCAGCCTGGCCAACATGGTGAAACCCCATCTCTACTAAAAAAAAAAATACAAAAATTAATCTGGCATGGTGGCAGGCGCCTTTAAGCCCACCTACTCGGGAAGCTGAGGCAGGAGAATCCCTTGAACCTGGGAGGCGGAGGTTTCAGTGTGCTGAGATCACGACATTGCACTCTAGCCTGGGCAACAGAGCAAAAACTCCCGTCTCAAAAAAAAAAAAAAAATTTAAAAAATAGTTCTAAAATTACCTAGTCTAGGATAGGCACTGAGTTAGGACCTTCATATCTGTTATTCCTTTTATTTTCAGAAAAATTTGAAAGGTATCACCCTAGTTTTACAGAAGAGTGAACTTTGGTCAGAAACATTAAGTAACTTACTCAAGGTCCCTCATAAACAGCAGGGTTGCGCTTGGAATCCTGATCTGTCTCTAACTTCTCATTTGCAGATAAAGAAACTGAGGCCAAAGTACACAACTAATTTGCCAGCGTAACAGGTAATTAGGAGCCACACAGCTCCCTTTCACATTTTCTTTCTATTATTTCATGGTTAGAAGTTACATAATTTCCACTGATATTAATACGTAACCATTTTTTTGTTGTTGTCGTTTTGTTAGTATTGTGTGTGAGATCGAGGTGGGTGGGCAGATGAGTTAAATATTATTAATCCAATTTAAAATAGATTCCAGATATACACAGCCTTTAGCTGACGAGAATATCATCCCTATAATCTGATAAAGCTCAAGTGACATCATCCTGGCTAGTATAAACTTTAACATTTTTAATGCGAATAGTCTATGAAAACCACAGATTTCTTAATCAAGCTCATTTTTGTGTTTCCAACTCTGCCTTTTCAGCCTGCAAACAAAATGCTCTTCCCCCACACCCACTGCTGTTTTCTACTTTTCTTATGATTAAAAAAAATATTTCCCTTGGTAACCATTTTCCCTGGTTACTTTCTTGGCTGATTTTCTGCACAAAGAACTGAAAGGCATTTATCCCCAAGGGAGGCAGTTATTTTAGATTTTACTAAGAAGTTCAGCAAATACTTTTCAACATTCCCTTCTGTCCTTTCTTTGTTTTTAAAGAAAGCTCTGATTTTGTTTCATTTTCAGCTGGAGACTTAAATGACACCAAGCAAAGCCTACTTAGTTTAGATCTCCAGGTAAAAAAGTTTTAAATTTTAAGTTTCTACTTAGCATGTGGAATGGTTTTAATATTTGGGTATTTTATTTCACAACTGTTTAACTCTTGAGTAAATTAGCTCGTTACTAATAGATTTTTAAAGTTCAAAGTATGCATTATTCTGTTTGTTTTTTTCACGATGTACTTCCCAAGTATTTCAGACCTTGTATACTTAGTATTAAATTATTTTTATATGTTTAGGTGGAATTATGTGTTCAATAGAAGTATAAATTGGTTTGAAAATATTATTAATTTTTAAGTCCTAAAAGAACATAAATAATTCAAAATATTTTTCATTTTAAATCTGTTGAATGAAGTGAAAATAGATAATAGACATCTCATGACTTCATGTAGAATTTTAAAATTCTAAATTAATATTTTTAAAGTTTACTTAAGATAACTGGTAAGAAATTTTAAATGAAGAAAAATAAGTTAATCAAGGTTTATAAATAATATTTAATGTTGGGATAAACACAGTAAGTGCTAGAAGGAAAAAAATTACTTGATAAAAATGATACTATGATTGGAATCCCAGAAAATTTACCTCTAGGAGGCAAACACTCAATTACGAAGTTGTTTATGAAAGCAAATATTAAGTGCAAAGCAAAATTCTGTATATCAATGAAAATAATGAGGGCCTAAGCATTAATAGTAAAATTAGTATTGAGAGACCATTTCCTAAAATGTATTTAAACACTGTAGTGAGACTGTTTAGATACTGATTTTGTCAAAATTCAAATAGCTCTGTAAGTTTATTTCTGTGCCTATCTATTTAGATTTCTGGGTAAGTAAAAGTGAGTCAATTTGGGGGAAAAAAAGAAAGAGAGGTAGTTTCCAGAATGAGGATACTGGGAGAGAGGGGTGTGCTCAGAATGGCCACAGCTGGCACATTCACACTCCTAAGCACTCAATCAGGCAATGCCCCATAAGTGAGTGCTTTCAGGATGCCTCAGGACAGCAGGATGCCTGAGACCCTCATGAGAGTTTAACTCTAGAGCCTCGAGGTCTAGGCCCTGACTCCTCACAACAGGATGGAAGGTCTGCACATACAATTGTTAATGCAAGAAAATTTCAATGTATACATTTCATGCATTGCAGAGCACTTATGATATCCATCAGAGCACACTTGCCATGCCACTCAGCAAATTCTAGTTTCACTTTGTCTCTCAGTTCAGGTTTTCATATTGCTTTCCCCTGCTGTTGTTGTTATTCCCTTCCAACATACTACTTTGCTCTCTGAATTGACTTTTATGATTTCAGGTGCCAATCAGCTAATGGATTTGGTCCTTCTTTACATGCTGCATGTTAATTTTTCTAAAACTAAAGTAGATTGCAAAAAGTTGTTCAAAAAGTTGTTCCAGTAACCTATGAAATATAGGTCATTTCAATAACCTATAGTAATGGTTTTCAAATGACTGTGGCAATTAATGTATATATACGCTGAAGAAAGGTTTGTATGCTGGCATGAAGATACTTTAGAGACTGCCGTTTGTTGAACAAAGGTGATGTGGCAAGTCAGACTATGAACTAACTAAGTGAAACCTGACTAGAGGAAGATGATTCTGGCAGATGAAGTTATAAAAAGAAGTACTGAGATTCAAGAGGGGAAACTGAGCTGACCTTGTGCCCTCTTCCCCTCTCACCAACTCCCTTGAAATAATACAAGATATATTACAGACAAATAAATGCACGAATATACAGCTACACTAGGAAATAAAAAGGGGAGCTCCTGGTGGGACAGACACTCTGAGGAGTCCTTCACAGACAAAGAGAAGACAGAAATGAATTTAAAGAGGAAAAATGTACCCTTGAACAGTCATGGGAGAAAACAGAGTGAAGAGAGCTTGTATAGGAAAAAAAGAAGTTTTTAGTTTAAAAGATCCCAAGAAGGATACATTAAACAGCAAAAACAACCTATACCAAGGTACATTCCATTCTTTTACCAAGGTAAAACTTCCAAATATCAAAGATATGTTGAAAATTTGAAAAAAATTTCTATAGAAAGAAAAAAAATTTCTTACAAAGGGATGAGAATCAGATTCAAGTCAAATTTCTCATCGGCAACACTAAATATAAGAAATAATGGACAAATATCTATAAGGTATTAAAGAAAAATGATTAGAATGATTTTGAAACCGTAATTCTGTTTCCAATTAAACAATGACATTTTCAGATCTTTAATAAGAGCACAGAATTTTACAACTTACAACATTCTCTGAGAAAAAGAGGATATATTTCTGCAAGAAATAAAAGGAATCTGAGGGAGCTTCTCCTTCTGATAATGGCAGACAAGGCAAGTCAGATCATTAGACCTGCTGAGAATAACTAGAAAGGGTGAGAAAAACAACAGGGCCAATATTTGGGATGGGACTGAAACCCAGAGAGGTTTAGAACAGTTTTTCTTCTAGAAGCATCTGGATTCCAGAAGAGGTGGTTGAGAAGATTAATAGAGTTTTAAAACAGCCTCAGGAGGACAGAGAGAAACAAACAAACAAACAAAATGGAGGCAAGCAAGCAGTGGGGGATGGTA
Source organism: Homo sapiens (assembly GCF_000001405.40). Classification (NCBI taxonomy): domain Eukaryota; kingdom Metazoa; phylum Chordata; class Mammalia; order Primates; family Hominidae; genus Homo; species Homo sapiens. Next base: position 368,109 of record NW_025791788.1, on the reverse strand, counting down.
GGAAAAGTGAAGTGGACCCAAAGCATATATATATATATATATATATATATATATTTTTTTTTTTTTTTTTTTTTTTTTTGTTTGAGACCGAGTCTCACTCTATCGCCCAGGCTGGGGTGCAGTGGTGTGATCTCGGCTCACTGCAACCTCCACCTCCCGGGTTCAAGTGATTCTCCTGCCTCAGCTTCCTGAGTATCTGGGACTACACGCGCGTGCCACCACACCCAGCTAATTTTTTTTGTATTTTTAATAGAGACGGGGTTTCACCATATTGGCCAGGCTGGTCTCAAACTCCTGACCTTGTGATCCGCTAGCCTTGGCCTCCCAAAGTGCTGTCATTACAGACTTGAGCCACCGCACCCAGCCCAAAGCATAATTATTAATTCAATATGGTGAAGCCCAGCTTCAAATCACTCAATATTCTATTCATAATGTACTTAACCTTATGCCTGAAACAGACGCAAATTCTCAAGTATTTTCATATACAATATCTGGCACTCCATCAAAGGTCATCAGGTATATGAAGAGACAAAACATGGCTAAAAACCTAAAGAAATAAGAGACAACCGAAATAGACACATAGAGGATCCAGAAAACCTAGTCTTCAGACACAGACTTTAAAACAAATATTTTTAATATGTTTAAAAAAATAAAAGATGAGATTAAAATTTTTAACAAAGAATTGGAAACAAAAAGAACATACTGAAAACCTGAAAACTAGAAAATACAATAAAAGAACAAGGAAGTCAATGGATAGATTTAATAGCAGATAAATCACAGATGAAGAGAGTATCAATGAACTGGAAGATCAGTTCAGAGAATAACCAGGATGAATCACTGAAGAGATAGACAAACAAAAAATACAAATGAGGGGAAAGTGACATTAAAGACACAATGAGAAAGCTGATATGCAAGTACCTGTAGTTATAGAAAGAATGAAAAAAGGGAAAAGAGAATGTACTATTTGTATAGTTAAGGGCTGAGAAGTTTCCAAATGTGATGAATAACATCAGGCCACAAATTCAAGAAGTGCCAAATAGGATAAAAACAAGAAAATTATATCTTTGTATACAGAGTGAAACAGCTGAAAACCAAAGACAATGAGAACATCTTAAAAACAGTGAGAGAAAAAAAATTACTTTTAAAAGTGAAAAAATTAGATTGAGAGATGATTTCTCAAAACAAACAATGGAAAAAAGAAGACATAGAAATTGTATCTTCGAGCCGGGTGTGGTAGTTCGTGCCTGTAGTCCCAGCTACTCGAAAGGTTGAGTCAGGTGGATCGCTTTAGCCTAGGGATTCAAGGCCAGCCCAGGCAACATAGTGAGACCTCATCTCAAAAAAAAAATAAAATAAAAAAAAAAAAACATTAAATAAAAAAAGAAAAAGAAAAGTAGGTGGGAAGAAGGCAACAATAAAATACTGGAAGCTAGGAAGGAAATGAAAGTGTAGGGGGAAAAAATCAACCGTATCTTCACAATGCTGAAAGAAAACACTTGTCAACCCCAGAATGTATATCTAACAAATACATCCTTTCAGGTAAACAAAAATAACTGATCAACACATCTGCACAAAAGGAATTATTAGAAGGTGATCTTCAGTCAAGAAGAAAATAATCCTAATAGAAGAAAGTAGATATAGGAAGGAACGAAGGAAAATGATAAATGTTTAGGTAAACCTAAACAAGTGGTTCTCAATTGAGGGGCGGGTTACATTTGGTAATGCCTGGAAACATTCTTTGGTTGTCACAACTAGGAGGAAGGTACTAATGGCATCTAGTGGGTAGAGGCCACGGATTGCTGATAAATAGCCTATAATATACAGGGCATCTCCCCATAAAAAAAGAATTATCTGGCGCAAAACGTTAATAGTGATGAGGATGAAAAATCTGATCTAAATAAACTTTGACAAAATAAAAATAATCTTTTGAGGGTTTAAAAATACATATATAATTAAAACACAGAACTGAAACAGAATATATACTGGGATAGGGTAAATGGAGTTGAAGTTCATCCTGGTTCTTGTATTGTCCAGGAAGAGGTAAAGGTACTAATTTATATTAAGACTTTGATAAGTCAAGGATGTATGTGGTAATCTCTACAAAGAAAAGAATGGTAAAAAGTGTATAATTACTAATGAAATAATAAAAACCAAGCAACAAGTTAAAAAGAAAGAAAACAGAAAAAGGAACATAGAACATGTAGGACAAATAAAAAGCAAATAGAAAGTATATTTCAATTCAAACATTAAATTTTACATTAAATATAAACAGCCTAAATGTTCCAATTAAAAGACAAAAATTGTTAAACTGCATTAAAAAACTCCACAATATGCCACTAATAGGAAGTATACTGAAAATATAAAAATATAGAAAGACAGCAAAACATATATTTTGCAGACATTAATCAAAAGAAAGCAATTACATGCAGGAGCAGAAAACCAAAGACCACATGTTCTCCCTTATAAGTAAGAGCTAAACATTGGGTACTCATGGGCATAAAGATGGCAACAATAGACATGGGAAGAAGGCAGGGAGAGGAACAAGGATTGGAAAACTGTTGGGTACTATGCTCAGTACCTGGGTGATGGGATCATTCATATCCCAAACTTCAGTACCACATAATATACTCAGTTAACAAACCTGCATACAACCCTCCTGAATCTAAAAAGTCAAAAAAGAAAAAAAATGCAACTACATTAATATTAGACAAAGTAGATCTTATAGCAAAAGCACTCCCGGAGACACTGAAAGTATCCACCTAATGATAAATGCACCAGAAAGATATAACGACTAAATTTGTACATACCTACAATCATTAGGACAAACAAGGCAAATTATTAGGACAATTTGAACAAATAGGTTAATAGTATTAAAGTCTTTAAAATCCTTATTGATATTCTGTCTACTAATTAAAAAATATTAATTACTTTTTATTGGCATAAAATGACTACTAATTTTTTAACAGACTTTTTTTCAAAGCAGTTTTAGATTCAGAGCAAACTGAGTGGAAAGTACAGAGTTCTCATATGTGCTTTTCCCCTACTATCAAAATCTCACACCATGGATAAATCTATGCTGACATATCATTATCACCCAATGTCCATAGTTTACATTAGGGTTCACTCTTGTTACTCTGTATTCTTGGGTTTTGACAAATTTTTAATGACATGTACCCACCTTTATAGTACTGTCGTCCCTTGGTACCCTTGGGGGACTGGTTCCAGGATCCCTCAAGGACACCAAAATCTGAGGCTGCTCAAGTTCCTTATATAAAATGGTGTAGTATTTGCATATAATACACATATCCTCCTGTATACTTTAAATAATCTCTAGATTACTTACACCTAATACACTGTATAGGCTATGTAAGTAGTTGTTATACTGTATCATTTAGGGGACAATGACAAGAAAAAAAAGTCTGCATATGTTCAGCACAAAAGCTACATAGGCCAAACTACATTTTTCGCTCATGGTTGGTTGAATCCACAGATGCAGAACCTGTGATATAAAGGGCTGACTATACTGTATCAGAAGAGTTTCACTGCCCTAAGAATCCTCTGTGTTCCACCTATTCATCCCTCTCCGCCCCAAATTCACTATTCTTTTATAGCTTGCATAGTTTTGCCCTTTCTAGAATGTCATAGAGTTGAAATCATACATATGCCATCTCAGGTTGGCTTATTTCATTTAGTTATATATTATATGCATTTAAGGTTCTTCCATGTATTTTCATGGCTTGATGGCTCATTTCTTTTTGGTGTTGAATAATATTCCATTGTCTGAATATACCATAGTTTTTTTTCCATTCACCTATTGAAGAACATGTTGGTTGCTTCTAAGTTTTGGCAATTATGAATAAAGCTCCTATACATATCTGCGTGCAGGTTTTTGTGTGGACATAGATTTTCATCTTATTTGGGTAAATACCAAGGGGCACGATTGCTGGGTTGTATGGCAACAGTATGTTAAGTTTTAAAAGAAACTGCCAAAGTGTCTTCCAAAGTGGCTGTACCATTTTGCATTCCCACCAGCACCGAATGAGACTTACAGTTGCTCCACACACTCACCAGCACTGGGTGTTGTCAGTGTTTTGGGTTTTAGACATTTGGTAGGTATGTAGAGGCATCTCATTTTAATTTGTAATCTGTCTACTATTTTTGAAACTAATATTTAGGATTGAAGTGTTGAAATTTTGGATGACAATTGTGGATTTGTCTATTTCTTTTTGCAGTTTTTGAAAACAAGTTTACCAATTATTTTTGGTAATGTCTAATCTGCTATTCATCCCTTGTCATGTATTTTTTCTCTCTCACATTGTAGTTTTCATCTTTAAAAGTTTGATTTGGGTTTTTAAAAATATCTTCTATGTTTCTACATTACATGGTTAATCCTTCTTCTCACTTCTTGAACATATAGAATATAGGTATAATGATTTTTAAACACCTACTTTATTAGTATATCAGCACTGTCATTTCTGAACTGGTTTCAATAAACTGATTTTTCCCATTATGGGTCAACTTTTCCTGTTTCTTTGTGTACCTGGTAAATTTACATTGGATCCTAAAACATTTGTTGGGTTATCTGAGACACTGTCAAGTTATTGTACGCAGTTTAATTCTTTCAGAAAGGCTTGCTTTTAAGCTTTATTAAATGGGATCACAGCAGCCTTTAGCCTAGGGCTAATTATTTTCCTCTACTGAGCTAATGCTCTTCTGAGTACTCTACCAGATGCCCTGTGAATTGTAAGGTTTTCCACTCTGACTGGTGGAACACAAACTCTTCCTGGTCTTTTTTAAGCTCCAGAGACCTGTTTTTTTTGTTTTGTTTTGCTTTGTTTTCCCCTTTGTCCTTTAGGTTAGTTCTTTTCCCAGTCTCAAGTATTAATAGTTTACTTACATACATGTGCTATCCAGTACTCAGTGGAAGACTTCACATCTCTGGAAGGGTTCCTCTGGGCTAGCTCTCACCTCTCTGTACTCTGCCCTAGGAACACTAGTCTCTTTGGTGTCCTCAGATTTCCAGCTGTATCTTTTCAACTTATGGAGACTGCTGGACTCTGCCTGTGTTCCCCTCACTGCAACTCCCTTGAGGGAGTAAGCAGGTCAATCACAGGTCTCTCCGGGCATTTGATTTGCATCCCCTTTCAGGGATCACTGGCCTGGACTGCTCTTTGTTTAATGTTTGGAAAATGCTTCAGATATATGTTGCTCTATTTTTAAGTTGTTTCAGGTGGGAAGGTATACGTAGTCCCTATTACTCCATGTTGGCTGGGAGTCAGATTTGATAAGTTTTGTCATAATACTGGTGTAATGGCTGAATGATTCTCTAGGAAGCGACCATGATGTAACTTCACAGACTCTCCAAAAGTCTGAAGTTACATCATGGTCGCTTCCTAGAGTATCATTCTACTTCATGGAGCCACTCTGGTTACTAGTTGTCAAACTAGTAGGAATGTTGTTATGGCAATACAGGGAAGGTGATCTCCACAAAACCATGCTCATTTTCTTGGCCTTCAGGTGATATACTGTATGCAGAATGTAAAAAATAGGTCAGTTAGTGACATCTGTACTTAGGCCAAGGACCCAGGATGGCAGCCATATGTTTGCTACTACCATTGTAGGTTTCTACTAAGAAACAATCACAATATTTGCCAAGACTTAGCACTGATCACCCTGCATTTCCTAAACATTTGGGTGGTAGACACTGTGGCTTGAGGAAGGCATTCATTACCCTGAGCTCATGCTCATGGTTTTCAGTTTAGATACCCTTGGAATTTCCCACAGCTTGTCTTAGGTTGTGAAGCAGACTTCTAAGAATCTGGATATCAACAAATTACAGTCATATGTCACTTAGCGACAAGGATACATTCTGAGAAATGTGATGTTACATGATTTTGTTGTCATACATCATAAAGTGTACTTACACGAACCTAGATGGGACAACCTACTATACACCTAGGCTATATGGTAGAGCCTATTGCTCCTAGGCTACAAACCTGTACAGCCCATGACTGTACTGAAAACTGTAGGCAACTGGAACAGAATGGTATTTGTGTATCTAAACATATCTAAAGCCAGGTGTGGGGGCTCATGCCTGTAATCCTAGCACTTTGTGAGGCTGAGGTGGGTGAATCACTTGAGCTCAGGAGTTTGAGACCTGCCTGGGCAACATAGTGAAATCCTGTCTCTACAAAAAAAATATAAAAATCAGCTGGGCATGGTGGCACGGGTCTGTAGTCCCAGCTACTCGGGAGGCTGAGGTGTGAGATTGGCTCGAGCCCAGGAAGCGGAGGTTGCAGTGAGCTGAGATGGTGCCACTGCACTCCAGCCTGGGTGGCAGAGCCAGACCCTGTCTCTAAATAAATAAATAAATAAATAATAAACATATCTACACATAGGAAAGGTATGGTAAGAATATGGTCTAAAATAATTTAAAAAATGGTACACTATCTAGGGTACTTACCATGAATGGAGCTTGGAAGACTGGAAGTCACTCCGGTGAGTCAGTGAGTGAGTGTGAAGGCCTAGGACATTACTATACACTACTGTAAATTTTATAAACACTGTACACTAAGAGTCTACTAAATTTATAAAAAAGTTTTTTTATTTCTTCAATAATGAATTAACCTTAGCTTACTGTAATTTAACTTTATATACTTTTTATTTTTTAAAAAATTTTGACTCTTTTGTAATAGCATTCCTCTTTTTTTTCTTTGTCTAAAGGCTTCTTGATTTTTTTAATCGTTTCAGAAAACTTTTCATTTCATTCCTCTTTTCTATAGTTTTTTTGGTTTCTATTCTGATCTTTATTATTTCTTTTTTTCCACTAATTTTGGGTTTGGTTTGCTGTTGCTTTTCTAGTTCTTTACGATGTATTATTAGGTTGTTTATATGAAGTTTTTCTACTTGTTGATGTAGGTGTTTATTGCTGTAAACTTCCCTCTTAGTACTGCTTTTGCTGTATCCCATAGGTTTTGGTGTGCTGTGTTTTCATCTTCATTTGTTTCAAGAATTTAAAAAAATTCCTTCTTAATAACACTTGGCTTAAAACACAAATACATTGTACAGTTGTACAAAAATATTTTCTTTCTTTATAGCGTAATTTTGTAAGCTTTTTTCTATTTTTATTTTTTAACTTTTCAAACATTTTTGTTAAAAACTGAGACAAACACGCATTAGCCTAGGCCTTCATTGGGTCTGGATCATCAATATCACTGTCTTCCCCCTCCATATCTTGTCCCACTGGAAGGTCTTCATGGGTAATAACACTCATGATAAGAATGCCTTCTTCTGAAATACCTCCTGAAGGAACCACCTCAGGCTGTTGCGCAGTTAATGTTTGTTTAAATAGATAGAAGGCATGTACTCTAAAACAATGATAAAAAGTATAGTATAGTAAATACATAAACCAGTAATATAGTTGTATATGAAAGTATTATGTACTGTACTGTACATAATTGTATGTGCTTTTTTTTTTTTTTTTTTTTTTGGAGATAGAGTCTCTCTGCACTCTGGGCATGGTGGTGCATACCTGTAGTCCTAGCTACTCAGTGCAACCTCCGCCTCCCGGGTTTAAGCGATTCTTCTGTCTCAGCCTCCCGAGTTGCTGGGATTACAGGCGTGCACCACCACACACAGCTAATTTTATATTTTTAGTAGAGATGGGGTTTCACCATGTTGGGCAGGCTGGTCTCGAACTCCTGACCTCAGGTGATCCACCCACCTTGGCCTCCCAAAGTGCTGGGATTATAGGCTTGAGCCACCGCGCCCAGCCTGTGCTGTATTTTTATATGACTGGAAGTGCAGTAGGTTTGTTTATACCAGCATCACCACAAACATTATGAGTAATGCGTTATGCTATGATGCTGTGACGTCTCTAGGCAATAAGAGATTTTCAGCTCCATTATAATTTTATGGGACCATCATGGTATATGCAATTTGTCACTGACAAAAAAGTCATTATGTGGTACATGACTGTACTTTCTTTGGTCAAATGGTCAGACAGAAAGATTGAGTCAAATGCTTGCAGGGTCTTTCAGGTTTTTTCTTTTCTTTTTTTTTTTTTGAGACAGAGTCTCGCTCTGTTACCCAGGCTGGAGTACAGTGCTGCAATCATTGCTCACTGCAACCTTGAACTTCTGGGCTCAAGTGAGCCTCCTGCCTCAGCCTCCTGAGTAGCTAGGACTACAGGTATGCACCACCATGCCCAGCTAATTTTTTATGTTTTAGTTGAGACAAGGTCTTGCTATGTTCCTTACTCTGGTCTTAAACTCCTGGCCTCAAGCAATCCTCCCACCTTGGTTTCGGCCTCCTATAGGGCTGGGATTACAGGCATGAGCCACAGTGCCTGGCCTCTCAGGTATTTTCTGAGGTTCCAACAAGATGACTGGGTTAGCAGTCTATGGCCACTTATCCCTTAATCCTTCAATGCCTCTCCTTTGCAGTTTAGGGTATTCATCTCTGTATGTAACATCACCTTGAATGTTTTACCATTCCTTCCTATCATAGATTTGTTCTGGTTGGCAAAGGAGACCAAGGTATGCCTGTGAGAATTGAAATAAATTTCATCACTGAGCAAGTTAGTTACTTTAACCTTCTAGAATCACCAAATACCTTAAATTCCCATTAAAAAGATAACAGCGGCAAATCTGTTGTGATCTGGGTTCTTATGATCCCTGGGGTTTTAGTTTCTCCTCCATACTGGCTGTGTAAGGAAGGCTTTTCATCTCAGGAAACACTGACAGTGAGTGGACCTGAGGCAAGAGCAGGAGGAAAGCTGCAAGGGGTATAGGTGTGTGTATGTGAGTATGTGTGTGTTTCTCAGCTGTAGAATTCTGAGAGGCAGTCAAAACTGCCAACCTTCCTTTGTAGGACTAACTTTAGGCCAAGAGAGATTGGCTGAGTGAATCCTTTGATGACAGCTGCTGCAACACCTTGATGGAGGTTTCTCTTGTCCCTGGCCACCAGACTTCACAGGGATTGCGCCAGTCTGTCTGACCATAATGCTACTACTGTACCAAGAGTGCCTAAATATTCATTTCTTAAATGTTTTTCAGCTTTACCATGTGCAAGGCCCTATACTAACCCTGAGACCAGCTAATTAAAGAGTTACTCTTCCTGACTCTTACCTCCTTATAACTGATGCTATTGACTGTTATTTTTATATGGCACCATCACGCCCTTCCCCCCAGACAATTATAAAGCTAGAGAATAAAAGCACAAAACAGAAAACGGCTGGGAAAATGGGTTGTGGATTACATCAGTCACAGAACGTCTTAGCAAACAGGTGGAGAGAAATCTCCCAAGTAATCTTTGAAAACCTGCAGAACAGTAGGGCCCAGAGAGGGGGCCATGTCTGATCCACCACCTTTACTGGTAATGAGTTTCCCTGGAACACATCCATGCTCATTTGTTTACAAATTGTTGTTGGGGAAAAGGCTTATGGAGTGCCTGCATAAACTGGCCATAAAAATATGGGACAATAAGTTGTGGAAAGCCACAAGAGGTCTCTGAGGAGGAAAGCCTTCTTATCGCCGTTATGTTCCCATGCTCTGAGTGCAACCTGCTCTCTTATCTATAAACACTGTGCTCAAGGAGAAAGACACTCCTCTGAAACACTGAAATGTGGACAGACGTACAGGCTCCTAGTTAAGCCCGCTCCTACTAGCTACTCTCCAATAAGTTAAAGATATGCTGTTTAAGCACAAAGGAGATTCATTTAAACCGCTACTGCTATAGATTACGCCTATGACATGCTGCCTCCCTTTCACTGTTTCGCCCTAAACATCTGCTTCTTAGATCTAAGTGATTGTACTCAATAAATCGTGTGGAGACCAGAACTCTGGGCCTTTTGCAGCCTCCATTGTGCAACTGGCCCCCTGGCTCCCATCTTTATGAACTCTTAACCTGTCTCTTCTCTTCCTTTGTTGCCACAGGGCTTTGGGTACCCTATGGGTGGTGTTGAGGCTGGTCCCCAACATATTGTCTATGGCTGCTTTCATGCTACAATGACAGAGCTGAATAGGTATGACAGAGAAGGTGTAGCCTATGACGCCTCAAATATTTACTATCTGGCCCTTTATAGAAAAAGGTTTCTAATTCCTGGTCTAAAGATAAAGGTAAGATACAAAAAAGTTCTGAACAGGCATGGTGACTCATGCTGTAATCCCAGCACTTTGGGAGGCCAATGCAGGAGGACTGCTTGAGCCCAGGAGTTCAAGGCTGCAGTGAGTCATGACTGAACCACTGCACTCCAGCCTGGGCGATGGAGCAAGACCCCATCTCTATTTAAAAAAAAAAAAAAGTTTTTTGATTCTGATAGAAGAATTCCAAATTATGATTTGGCAATAATACTATAGCATATAGTCCATATATCATAAGTGTAATTTCTCAAAGACTTGCCTACTGAGGCATACAAGCAAATATATAAGCCAATTTTCAGAAGTAAAAATTTAGTCACCACTAACTTTGAAATATTGTTTCATTCTAGAAATTGGCTGGTGGAAAAAAATCAAACATGAAGATTGCAGTTTTGTTTTGTTTTTTTCTGCTTATCATTTTTCAAACTGACTTTGGAAAAAATGAAGAAATTCCTAGGAAGCAAAGGAGGAAGATCTACCACAGAAGGTTGAGGAAAAGTTCAACCTCACACAAGCACAGATCAAACAGACAGCTTGGAATTCAGCAAACAACAGTTTTTACACCAGTAGCAAGACTTCCTATTGTTAACTTTGATTATAGCATGGAGGAAAAGTTTGAATCCTTTTCAAGTTTTCCTGGAGTAGAATCAAGTTATAATGTGTTACCAGGTAAGAGAACACTATGAGAGAGAGACAGAAAGAGGGAGGAGGGTGAGAGATGGTATGGGGAAAGAGAAGGAGAGAGGGAGAGAGGGAGAACATCTCCATGAAGATAATTTTCTAAAGAAAAATCCAGGTTATTATATTACTTTTTGGTTTAATCTACAAACATACATTTTAAAATAATTTAAAAAATAGGGCCAGGCGCGGTGGCTCACACCTGTAATCCCAGCACTTTGGGAGGCAGAGGTGGGCAGATCACGAGGTCAGGAGTTTAAGACCAGCCTGGCCAACATGTTGAAACCCCGTCTCTACTAAAAATACAAAAAATTAGCCGGGTGTGGTGGCATGTACCTGTAATCCCAGCTACTCGGGAGGCTGAGGCAGGAGAATCACTTGAACCTGGGAGGTGGAGGTTGCAGTGAGCAGAGATCACACCACTGCACTCCAGCCTGGGCGACAGAGCAAGACTCCGTCTCGAGATTAAAAACAAAACAAAACAAAACAAAACAAAACAACCCCCAAAAAACCAAAAACAACTTAAGGAACACATTTATAATTATTAGACAAAAATTACTTATCCTACCACTATATTTACAAAATCATAGTTATCATTTTGGTTTCTTTCCAGTATGTTTACTATGCATATATTTTAAATAGTTGTAATCCTAACATAGATAATATACATAAACATTTATAAACTACCTTTCCATTTATAACAATAGATCATCTAGAATACAGAAATAAATTATTCAGATGATTCTGTGAACATATGGCTATTACATATTTTCAACCAAAAATTTTCAACCACAAATAGAATTAAAGCCACTGAATTGATTTTATATAGGTTAAACCACTGACTTTTTAAAGATTTAAAAGACTAAAAATTCTGCTAAAGATTTCAATTAGGCATTTTTAAAAACGTATTAAATGGTTTACATTTTTCCAAATTTGGAAGGAAAAAGTATATTATAGACATGTTACCACTAAATAAAACTTTCAAAAGAATAACAGAAAATATCACCATATAATGTTCTGTGGCCAGTATTTCATATATTGTCTCAATACAGCTAAATGCTTCTTCGTTAATTATTTCCATGTATTTAACAGAAATAATATACAATTATCCTGAAAATAGGCAATTTAGGCCACACTTACAACATGATTGGGAAAAGAAAGGAAGAGAAATCAACTTAAAAACATTGTAATAATAATGTACTCATAACTGCTAAAGAAAGATGAGGTCAATTTTTTTAGTTAAGTGGAAAGATGGCTAAGCTATAATAATGGAAAACAAAAAGGCTGAAAAAGAAGTATTCATAATGTGATCTCAAACTTGTTTAAAAAAAAGTTTTTATATGTACTAAAGGGTGGTATGCATAAAAGTACAGAAGATATATACTAAGTATTTCCAAGTTGTCCGAAAATATTTTCCAGTGATCTTACAGTACTTTTTGATTGTATCACCACACATAACACAAAATTTACCATTTCATCCATTTTAAAGTGTACAATTCAATAGCATTTAGTACATTCACAGTATTGTGCAACCATCACCACTATCTTGTTTCTGCACATTTTCGTCCCACCAAAAGGAAACTCTGTACCTAAACTCCCCATTTCTCCCCACTCCCAGCCCTTGGCAACCACTAATCTGTTCTGTCTCTATGAATTTGCCTATTCTGGAAATTTCATGTAAATGGAATCACATAATATGTGGCCTTGTGTATTTGACTTCTTTACTTAGTATAATGTTTTTAAAGTTCATCTATTATTAGCCTGTATCAGAACTTCATTCCTTTTTATGGCTGAATAATATTCCATTGTATGGCTATACCATATTTGTTTATCCATATTGTCTACCAGTTGATGAACATCTGGGCTGTTTCCACCTTTTGGCTATCATGAATAACACAGCTATGAACATTAATATAAGTTTTCTTTCAACACCTATTTTCAATTCTTTTGGGTATATACTTAGGAGGGGAACTGTTGGGCCATTTGGTAATTCTATATTTAATTTATTGATGAACTGCCAAATGTTTTCCAAAGTGGCTATGCTGTTATATGCCCACCAGCAATGGAAGAGGACTCCAGTTTCTCTACATTCCTGCCAACAATTGTTATTTATTTTTAATTATAGCTGTTCTTGTATGAAGTGGTATCTCATTGTGCTTTTGATTTGCATTTCCCTAACAACTAATGATGTTAAGCATCTTTTTATGTGCATGTTGTCTATCTGCATATCTTCCTTGGAGAAATATCTATTCAACCCCTATGCCTATTTCTTTCTTTTTTTAAGAGATGGGGTCTTGCTCTGCTGTCCAGGCTGGAATACGGTGGTACAATCATAGCTCACTGCAGTCTTGAACTCCTGGGCTTCAGTGATCCTCTGCCTCAGCCTCCCAAGTAGCTGGGACTACAAGAATGCACCACCACACCTGGCTAACTTTTTAACTTTTTCTGTAGAGACAGCATCCCATTATGTTGTCCAAGCCGTTCTCAAATTCCTGGCCTCAAGAAATCTTCCCTCCTTGGCCTCCCAAAGTGCTGGAATTACAAGCGAGAGCCACTGTATTGGGCAAGTTTTGCCCATTTTTTTATTGCATTGCCTTTCTGTAGTTGAGTTGTAAGAGTTCTTTATGAATATTCTGGATATCAGGACCTTATCAGATATATGATTTCACATATTCTCTCCCATTGTGTACACCATCCTTTCACTTTCTTAACAATGTCCTTTGATGCAACAAATTTTTAATTTTGATAAAGTCTAATTTATCTTTTACTTTAGGTGTCACATCTAAGAATCCACTGCCAAATATGAGGTCATAAAGATTTTCCCCTATGGATTTTTCTAAGAGTGTTGTAGTCTTAGCTCTTATATTTACAGCAAAGGTCTAAATATAAGATATATTAGGTCTTTGATCCATTTTGAGCTAATGTTTGTATTTGGTGAAAGGTAGGGATTCAGCTTCATTCTCTTGCTGGTGTTGTCCCAGCACTAGTTGTTGAAGATTGTTCTTTCCTCCACTGAATGGTCTTGACACCCTTCTTGAAAATCAATTGTTCATAAATGTATGTCTGACTTTCAGTGTTCCATTGGCCTATACGTCTATGCTTATACTAGTATCACACTGACAAAAGCTGATTATCATATCTTTATAGTGAGCTTTTTGAAATCTGAAAGTGTGAGATCTCCAACTTTGTTCTTTTTTCTCAAGATTGCTTTGGTTATGTGGGATCAACTTTTCCATTTGAATTTAAGGATCAGCTTTTCCATTTCTGCAAAAAAAGGCCATGGAAATTTTGATAGAGTGTAGTGCTTTTGATAACCTGGAAGAAACTCATATGTGTATTTTTGTTCAGAGGAGGAATTGGGTAGGTGGGATTAGCCTATTGCAAGTATTCGAATGAGAGATGGGTAGGGCCTGAATTGGGCTGAGTTAGTGGTCGGGGAAAGGAGGGGACTAATGTGAGAGGCTCATTTGGGGGTGGAACTTGGGGACAGTGGCTCAGATGGAGGAAAGTTATCTGGAATGACACCAGGGTTGGAAGAAAAACATCCCCTCTAATATTCTCCTCAGCTTTCTAATGGCCTGCTTAGCTGATACACTTATCCACATATCTACAATCTTGTATGTAGGGAAATGAATATATGCACTGCATCATGAACTTTATTTGTTTATTTATTTATTTAGGGACAGTCTTGCTCTGTCATCCAGACTGGAGTACAGTGGAACGATCTTGGCTCACTGCAACCTCCACCTCCTGGGTTCAAGCGATTCTTATGCCTCAGCTTTCTGAGTAGCTGGGACTTCAGGCATGTGCCACCATACTCGGCTAATTTTTGTATTTTTAGAGGAGATGGGGTTTCACCATGTTGCCCAGGCTGGTCTCAAACTCTTGGTCTCAAGTGACCTCAGACTCCCAAAGTGCTGGGATTACAGGCATGAGCCACCGTGCCCAGACAGTATTATACACTTCAAAAGGGTGAATATTATAGTATGTGAATCATATTTCAATAGCATAATAAACCATAAAAGACATAGCTCAGTGTCTCATTGAGAAGCACCACGGAAGCATGCTGTCTGGTTTCACCTATTCCCATGTGCATATCAAGGGTGGGCTGTGAGCTCATCATTAGTGCTAGCTCAGCTCTCTGGTCACATGAGGGAACTGGATTGGCTGGCGGCTTGGGAAGTCTGGTGTGGCCATACGATTTGCTTTGGTCAGTATAATTAGACACTTTAAGAGCTCATGTGTGATTTGTAACCTCACATTTCCACTACCGCAGTGATCAGGACAGCCTGCTTATAGATGAATCCTGAGTGAATATGATGAGCTGAGCCCCTGTGTCCCCACATTAGACACAAAGTATAAATGAAAAATAACTGAGATTTGGGGATTGTTTGTTGATGTTGTATAATTTAATCTATCCTGATGGATACAAAATGGAAGCGCAGTTCAGCCCCAAGTTACCATGAGGAGTTCACTCTTAGAGCCTACGTGAAAGGGCTGAGAGGAGAGCCTGTGAAAAGCATTTCAGCATTTCTTATGTCTATACGACATCTTTACCCTATACATGAATGCACATAGAATTCTATTCTTGTGTGGTTAGAGCAGTTTGACTTCACATTGTGTTTACTTCCATTCACAGTTACTGATAATCACATAAGAAATTTAAATTTGTGCTTTTGTTTTCTTCTAGGAAAGAAGGGACACTGTTTGGTAAAGGGCATAACCATGTACAACAAAGCTGTGTGGTCGCCTGAGCCCTGCACTACCTGCCTCTGCTCAGATGGAAGAGTTCTTTGTGATGAAACCATGTGCCATCCCCAGAGGTGCCCCCAAACAGTTATACCTGAAGGGGAATGCTGCCCGGTCTGCTCCGCTACTGGTACAGAGATTTAGCTAAGCAAAATATCAGTGTGTGATTAATCTTTAACTTCCATTTGTTTTTGTTACTAATTTTAGATTAAAATTATGATACATTAGTCAGATCTGAGTACTTAAAATATTGGCAAAATGCTGATTAACATAGAAAATATCTGGGAAAATGTATGGTAGGGGATATAAATAATAGACTGTGGCTTTATAGTTCTAGCTCTATCAGATTCAGTAAACTTGGATGAGATTACATTCCACATTTGACTCTCAGCTTTAGAGATATGGTAACAGAATTTCTACAACAGATCCTGAATTCTTATTGCATTAAGGGCTCTGCTTTGGTCTATATGTGCATTATCCCACTTAATCCAGTGCAACGTGCCTTTATCATCTTGAAGCCAGGGTAAACAAAGGAAGAGTGATTTGCATCTAAAGAGAACAAAGCCCCAACCCTCTGGCTATACCCAACCACTCAAAGGCAGCACAGGAACCCACATCACTGCTTGGATAATCCCAGGAAAATGCAGAAAAAGTGTAGCCTGAAGCATGATTTTCTCATGTGGCACTTCTGTGTGCAGGAGATCACAGCGCGGGTTTTGTTGGCTGCTCATGGACCCCTTCTCCAATGAGGCTCATACCTGACTGAATGAAGGACCCTTGGGAGGGAGGCCCAGTCTCCTCTGAGAAAAGCCTAACCAACACCTTATGAAAATAAGCAAATAAATACTTGTTAAATAATTGGCTGGGAAGGGATAGGGACATCTTCTCTTGTCTATAACCAAGGTAGATTGCTCCCATGCACACAGATGATCACAGGGTAGGTGTCTACAAAAGTCTCCTTGCCAGGAAAAACTTTTGACTATTTAGAAATTGTGTTTTGCGTTATACTACCAAATATTTCACTAATATTTAAAAAGAGTTAGGAAAAAAGTGTTCAATGAAATGGATTCCTTGGAGTGAAATAAATACAAGGTTTACAAAGTAAGAGTCACAAATTCTCAGAAATTTTTTCAGAAGACTTGGAGTATTCTTGAAATGTAGTTATTTTGGAAAAATAAACTTGGATATACAGGAAGGATTTTAAATGTTTCAATATGATAGCTTTAGTTTCCTTTTACTAACTTTTTCCTATTCTTCTGCATGTTTTGCTAGAGATGTGAAAAAATAATTCACAGACTTTATAATACATACTGAATTGATATCTCAAGTAATTTCTCCAAATAATTATATTTCCTGAGTTCTTTTTGGGAGTAGTTTATATATAGTGTTAAATAAAAGTAGGCAGATGATTAAGTAAATTTTTAAATCTTGATGGAAGAAAACGTATGCACTCTGGCTGGGCACGGTAGCTCACACCTGTAATCCCAGCACTTTGGGAGGCTGAGGCGGGAGGATCACAAGGTCAGGTGTTCGAGACCAGCCTGGTCAACATGGTGAAACCCCATCTCTACTAAAAATACAAAAATTAGCCTGGCATGGTGGTGGGGTGCCTGTAATCCCAGCTACTTGGGAGGCTGAGGCAGGAGAATCGCTTGAACCCGGGAGGCGGAGGGTGCAGTGAGCCGAGATCATGCCACTGCATTCCAGCCTGGGCGACAGAGCAAGACTCCGTCTCGGGGGGGGGAAAAAAAAGTATGCACTGTGAAATCAGTTCTTCCTAGAACTGTTTACCCAGAGAGTGAATTTGAATCTAGTCTTTGTCATGTCTTCCCCACTTTCTGCCAAAGACTTAACAGCTAAATATAAATGTAGATTAACTGTCTACTATCATCTATTCTACTCCCACCATCATGGAAGGATAAACAGCACTCCTGGGCATATGTCTAAGTTAAAGCAACATCACTTAAGTCCAGAATGTCATTTGTAAGTCTCAGGTAGTAAAGATGATTTAAGTATAGAGTCTGGGACAGAGAAGGAGGAAAACTCTCTCTCTATAATTCTGAATTTCAGAGGATGATGTTATGATGCCATGGACAAAAATAATGACAAATCTATAAGCAAAAGTTGGTTTCACTGCTATAAGCAAGTAAAATATACACCTGTTTCACTTTTCTAATGTCTGGTAAACAGTCTGCAAATTCTCACATTAGCAATAGCCCCAGTGAACAGAACAGTATCTATTATAAAGGTATCACAACTGATTATAACACAATCTCACAACAGGATTGCTTACCATTTTGCCTCATGTGGCAATATTATTCCCTCCTTAGTCACCAGGTATCATGATATGTTAGCAAAAATAAGCATTAAGTTATTTAATATAAAAATTAGTATTAAGGCCCACAGGTGAATAAAATGTAACAGATATTACAAAATAGAAATAAAGTGACTATTAAAACTTTTTAAGCAAGAATTTCAAGGTGCATTTCATCTTTAAATTGCACTCAAATACTTGGAGGGAATAATATTTACTAACCTCATTTTCATTATGGTTTTTTCTTTTATTAATATCATCAACTTATCTCTGCTACCTCATCCTTGCGTGGTCATTAGTCTCCTATTCTCTACTCAGTGGTATAGCATTAAATGATAGAAATGAATTTTCTGGTGATTCTTCAGAACAAAGAGAACCTACCAATTTACTTCATAAGCAACTGCCACCTCCTCAGGTGGGAATGGACCGAATAGTAAGAAAAGAAGCACTTCAATCTGAGGAGGATGAAGAAGTGAAAGAAGAAGATACAGAGCAAAAGAGAGAGACCCCTGAATCTAGAAATCAGGGGCAACTTTACAGTGAGGGGGACAGCAGAGGAGGAGACAGAAAGCAGAGGCCTGGAGAGGAGAGGAGGCTGGCACACCAGCAACAACGCCAAGGAAGGGAGGAGGAGGAGGATGAGGAGGAGGAGGGTGAGGAGGGTGAGGAGGATGAGGAGGACGAGGAGGACCCGGTAAGAGGAGATATGTTCCGAATGCCCTCTCGATCCCCGCTTCCTGCTCCTCCCAGAGGCACACTGCGCCTGCCAAGCGGGTGCTCTCTGTCCTACAGGACCATCAGCTGCATCAACGCCATGCTTACCCAGATACCACCGCTGACAGCACCACAGATAACAAGTCTGGAGCTCACTGGTAAGAGATGTTGACTTCTGCTTTATTTTGTGCTTTAAAAGTAAATGACTCTTAGCAGCTGGGCACGGTGGCTCACGCCTATAATCTCAGCACTTTGAAAGGCTGAGGTGGCCAGATCACCTGAGGTCAGGGGTTTGAGACCAGCCTGGACAATATGGTGAAACCCCATCTCTACCAAAAATACAAAAATTAGCCGGGCGTGGTGGGGCATGCCTGTAATCCCAGCTACTCAGAAGGCCGAGGCAGGAGAATCGTTTGAATCCAGGAGGCGGAGGTTGCAGTGAGCTGAGATTGAGCCACTGTTCTCTAGCCTGGGCACTTGAGCGAGACTCCATCTCAAAAAAAAAAAAAAAAAAGTAAATGACTCTAAGCCACATGCAGTTGTATACACTTGTAGTCCCAGCTACTCAGGAGGCTGAGGTGGGGGAATGGCTTCAGCCCAGTAGTTTCAGACTAGTCTAGGCAACAGAGCGAGATCCTGTCTCTTAAAAAAAAAAAAAAAAAAAGTGAACGATTCTCATTGCTCTGTGAAGACTGTATTTTAATTTCATCCTAAAAATTGATCCTGAATAGACTAATTTCATAATCTTCAAATATATAAACTTTGCAGAAGAGATAGCTGTTTACTGCAGAATAGCAGTTAGGTATAAAGCAAACTCCTCCAAATCAAATGATGATTTCCTACTGATGTTTCTTAAAAATCAGCTTTAATGAGGTATAATTTATATGTAGTAAAACTTATTTTTAGTATATAGTTCTGAGTTTTGACAAATGCACATAGTCATGTAACCACCACCAAAATTAAGATATAGGACATTCTATCACTCCCCAAAATTCCTTGTTTCCCCCTCCACCAGTCACTGGCCACCACAGAACACTGATCTGTTTTCTGTCTCTACAGTTTTGCCTTTTCCAGAGTGTCACATAAGTGGAATCATACAATACATAGCCCTTTCAGACTGGCTTCTAATGTTTTTGAAAGCCACCCATTTTGTTTTGTGTATCAGTAGTTCATTCCTCTCTTCTGCCAAGTAGTGTTCCATCATGTGGATGGGGCAGGGTTTCCTATCAGTTAAACGTCATCTGAGTTGTTTCCAGTTTGGGGTGATTATGTATAAAGTTGCTATAAATATCCACGTACAGATGTTTGTGTGGACCTAAGTGTTCATTTCTCTAGGGCAATGCCCAGGAGTGGGACTGCGGATATGGTAAATACATGTTTAAGTTTATAAGAAAATGCCCCACAGTTCTCTAAAGTGGCTGTTCCTTTCCCACCTGCATGCTGGGGAGCTCCTGCCTCTCTGCAGCCTGCCCGCACTTGGTACTGTCAGTTGTTTTCTCCCTTCCTTTTTGACATTCTAGAGGGAATGTGGTCATCTAGACCTTCTGCCCATGTTTCCATAGGACCACCAGGGAGGGCTCTGAGTGGAACAACAGCAGGACCAGGTGTGAGAGGCTGGCTGGTGGGGACACTTTGGGTGCTGGGAGCAGCAGGAGCATTCGTCTGGGTAATGAGGCCCCCATGCCACGGGTGTCCCTGGAGATGCTGGGGTGAGGGAAGCTGAAAAGGTCAACACATTTGTGCAGAGATGGCCATCTGTGACAGCACACTGCCAGTGTCAAACATAATAGAAGCTTCCATGGCCTCTCTGACAAAGGATTTCATCCTACTTTCATATGATCACCTAAGGAACTCCTCTCATGCTCAGGAAAGTCCCTTCCTCCTGTGGCCTATACACCAGGTATGCTCTGCCCTAAGAAAACCCCATTTGTGAAAGTCTAAAGCCTTGGAAAAGATAAATGACCCATGCTGAGCTACACTGTTATGGTTTTATAAGAAGGTCACCACGTGGCTTTTATGGTATGTACTACTGGTATGCTCACTTTCCGGGTTTAAAAATTGACTACTGAACTTAACTAAATGTTAAAACAAAAACCTATAAAATTAAAGCATACAGGAACCTTTGTAGATTGAAGCCGTAGAGGCATAACATTAGATCTGAGAGAGTCTGGGAGATGATCTCCCCAAGCTTCTTATGCAGAGATGGAGACAGGCTCAGAGGAGGTGAGTGATTGGCATGAGCATTCATGGACAAAAACAGAGGCATGTTTCTAGTCCAGGAAAATGGCTATGGGAAAATATGAAGAATAAAAATCAGTTTCTGTGTAACCTTCCACACCTTTGTTGTAAATGTACAATGTTACCAGTACTCTCCAGCAGACCACATTCTGGCTGTGTTAAGCACCTTCATCTAAACCATGATATATTTACAGCTTGATGAATCCTTAGAGAGAAAATGTCAACTATGTTAAACCATCTATTTCCAGCTTGTTACTTTTCTGAACATGCTTTGGTTATATAATATATATTCTGTCCTTGTTCTGAGTATTGCTTTCTCCTCCAGACAAAGCTCTCTCTTGATATCTATGCACACATGCCCATACATGTGTGTACATGTATGTATATGCACACATGCCTAAAACATAACCGCTGTGTGTCCTAGGCAATTCCATCGCCTCCATCCCAGATGAAGCATTTAATGGATTACCAAATTTGGAAAGGCTTGATCTGAGTAAAAATAATATCACTTCTTCAGGCATAGGTCCAAAAGCATTCAAGGTAAATACATGCTCTGATTTGTCTATTTGGATGAATGGCTTCACTATGACTTGCATTGGTTGGAGATGGGGAAGGGAGGAAAAGGAAAATGCTTCTAATTGGTAGTCTTCTTCTAAGAAAGTTTCCTCTCTGATGTCCCTAATTTGAATTCAAGTTTTCCCTTGAATATAGTTTACTATTTTACATACTTTTAGCTTTGCTGTAAGGACACCAACAATAGCATCAGTGACAAAAGTAATGATTTTAATTTATGGAGTAGTTTCTTCCCAAGTAACTGAAAACATGCTAAAATCTGGTCTTTTAGCATCTGAAGTATTTTCTGGAAACAAATTGAGCCTATCTGGAACCTCTGTTAACATTTTTCAGGCCAGCAAGACACTGCTTCCTTTTTTTGTGTGTGCAATCAACAAAACCTGATGGAGGATACTTTGGCAGAAGGGGGTTCTGGAAAAACAAATAGGCTCATATAAAAATTAGGGATAGCTTGGGGAAGAAGAGGGAAAGAGAGAGAACAGGAAACAGCACAGAGTAAACCTTTGAAAGATACAGATTGGACTAATTATATATTTAAAAAAAAAAAAAAACAGGCCAGGCACAGTGGCTCATGCCTGTAATCCCGGCACTTTGGGAGGCCAAGATGGGCGGATCATGAGGTCAGGAGTTTGAGACCAGCCTGGCCAACATGGTGAAACCCCGTCTCTACTAAAAATACAAAAAATTAGCCGAGCGTGGTGGCATGCACCTGTAGTCCCAGCTACTCGGGAGGCTGAGGCAGGAGAATCGCTTGAATTCGGGAGGCGGAGGTTGCAGTGAGCCGAGATCGCGCCATTGCACTCCAGCCTGGGCGACAGAGGAAGACCCTGTCTCAAACAACAAAAAGGAGAAAAGAAGAGAGAATTCAAGGAATTTCAGAGCCAAGAGAAAAGGGGTTTATGTTTGTAAACAAAAACTCATAAATGTGTATGTTTGAAAAGCCAAAAATAAAGCACACTATATTCCACTAAGTGAAACTGTTACTCCCTTGGGCAGTCTTCTGGGTCTTCCACCCACTCTTCAGACAAATCACTGGTCTCTTCTATTCTCATTTCCTGTTTCTTATCTGGAGTCTGGCAGATAAAAGGGTTCTACATTCACACCCTAGATCTACTTCATGCTATCCATCCTTCTTCTAGAAAATGGCTAGCATTAGGGGGTCCTTTTCCTATTTGTCCAAGAGAAAAATTTGTAAGAGATTACCTCCTTTTCTTGCTTTGGAATTCTCTGTCCCATTCCGAAACTGTTGAAATTTGAATATGATCACTGGAGAAGTGAATCATTCCATGGGACTTTACTAAAACCTACCCAACCACAGGTCCCCACTTGTGGGGGTACAGGCTAGGTTTGACCAATGAACACACAACTACAAATGTGAAAAAGACACTTTTCCAGACAGTCAACTGGATGCCATATTGGAATGGCTTGTGATATCTGTAGTCCTTGGTTTTGAAAAATTTCCACAGTAATTAGTGTTATTTTATGACCTTTCTGGAGTAGATAAAAAACTGAGGTTTACAAGTATGTTTAAAGGATTGATTGCTATCTTAATTGTTAGCATCCATGACAGCTTCAGATTACTGCATGATTTCATAAAATTTCTGTCTATTGCTGTAAAGGTGGAAACCTAAGATCTAGCAAGAATGACCAATCCAGTAGTTATGGCAGCTTTCTCTCACTTTCTAAAGCTGCAATATAAACGTGGTGAGTAAGCTACAAAATAATCAAATGTAGTCTGCTGAAAATCCCTGAGAATCAATGCTATTACCAGGATCAATATCAACCTGGCAGGGGGAATAAGGGGTTTGCTGTGTGGCCTGGACATTACTGTCTAAGCCTAAGGAAGGATAGGTTTGTGAGACTTTTAGTCACGACCATTATATGAAATGTGACTGCACAGCTGTGACTAGATAAAAAAGTAACTTTGAGATTTGCTTTTTAAGCTTCTGAAGAAGTTAATGCGTTTGAATATGGATGGAAATAATTTGATACAGATTCCTTCACAATTGCCATCTACATTAGAAGAACTTAAAGTCAATGAGAACAATCTTCAGGCTATCGATGAAGAAAGTTTATCAGGTATTTAATATTTGTTTTTCAATGATATGCTTCCTTATAATCTTTCCTATATAGTCCTGTAGAAATTTTATTTACTGTATTGCCAAATGAATAAATAGTAAATATTTTTAGGTCACTTAACCATTTGAGTTGATAAAACTTCTTTTAACTATTGACTGGTAAAACGTAAAATGAATTTTAAACTGCCTATTGTCTTTGTACCTTACCCATGAATAACATTGTTTCTCAATGATTCCAGGTTCTTATTATTCACAAGGCAATAAATTTACTACAAATCCAAAATATCTGAAGAATTACGCTAAATATTCCCTGCACTGCCATGTGTTTTGTGTTATGGATCGACAATTTTGTCGGTTCTTTGTAGCGACTAACCAGTGCCATGTTTGTTGATTGGATCTCCTTTATCACTCTGATGGTCAACAGACCCCACCCACAACTCTTGCTGCCTCCATACACCTTGCTATTTTCATTTATCATGTGTTGGAACCTAAAAACAAAACTAAGCACATGGGAATTATGCATGGAATATGAATAAATGGGCACTGCATATGCGGCTGAGATGCTGTCCTACAAAGAAAGCACATGCTCTTCATGGTATTAACTTTGACTTTGGCAATTTTCTGCCTGAGAGGGCTTGGGCTGGAACTTCTGTACTCATATGTCACTGAAGTCCTGCTAACTCCACACCCCACGGCATGTGGATGCAAGGCTCCCACCATGGCCTAGCTTTCTGACAGCCTTTAGTGAGCGTGCCCCATGTTCTGTGCACTCGACATTGCTGGAAATGGCCCCTCTTCTGCTTGTTTCGGGACTGTGCTAGACAGCTGAAGTTGTCATATTGTGACTCTGTATAGAAGAGGCTTTATCACATTTTACTTTTCATGAATTCTAGCTAATGCCTTTGATTGTACTGTGTACTTTTTTGAGACAAGGACTGCCTACCTTTTCTTTTTATCTTCCTAATAGTCTAGCATAGCTCTTGAGGTACAGTGCTCAACACTGTCTGTTTCCTTGCTTTGAAACATATTATGTTTTTATTTATTATGTTATTTATTAAACAAAGCCTTTAAAGGAATAAAACAATTCAATTATTTCCTGTAGCTCCCAAAAAACTTCACAGGAACAAAACACTTCTGGTATTGAGAAAAGAACAATAATAATGAGAATTGCCAAATCTGAGGATTAGTTATGGAAATACTCAATTTCCAGATGGATTTCAGGACACACAGAAAAACATTAATAAACACAAATTTTGATGCAGACTGCCAAATGGGAAAGACATTAGAAAATTCAGTTTCTAACTGCTGAAGACCAAAGGGTGTCAGCAATTTAGAACAACTGTACTAACAGGCTGTATATGAACTATAAGTCAGTCACACTTTTAGTTGGGTTATCAAAATGAGATGTTATAAAACATGCACTCCTGATTGTGAACGTGCTTTCACACACCCCTGGAACTGCCTTCCAGAGTACTCTTCTCCTCCCTCACTCACAAATGCTTCTAGATTCCCAGAGTGTTGACAGGAAGCCAGGGTGAACGGGCTGTCTGCCTGCCTTTCTTAGCCCACCTTTCTCCACAGTCCGAGCACCCGAGGAGCCTCGGCCCCATGCCGGCAGTGCTTCTGTCCTCCGGCTCAGATACCCCCGGCTGCACTCCCTGGGTGGGCTGAGTTCTAAGAGCTACTGCAGTACTGGCCCCTCGGGTGCTGGGCTCCCCCTGGCTGGGAGTCCTGATGCTGTGGATGGTCAGGCTGGCTGCCAGGAGTGCTGTGAGGGCACCCTGCTTCTGTGTGGAAGCAGGTGGCCCACTGCTCTCCCGTCATCTCTCTTGGGGTGGCTCCTCACTCATGACCTTTCAGATTATAGCTCCAGAGAGGGGGAAGGAGGGCACTCCAGGGAGAGAAAACAGCACAAAGATGCAAATAAATGAGACAATTTGGGATACTGTGGGAGCTGCAAGCAGGCACGGTGAAGGTGAAAGGCAAGCAAAGAGCAGCACAAGGGGCTGCACACACCTTGCTGAAGGGCAGGGAATTTACCTGCAGGAGGAGCAGAGTCCACCTGAGATGTGCACACGTGTTATGGAGAAAGGGAAGGACTTACAATTGAGAGAGAGGTGTGAAAGGTGGAGGGAGGGACAGCTGAGGAAAACCAGGCACGCTTTAAAAGCATTTTTGTTGTCACTAATGACTGAAACAACTAAATCAGGAGCCCTGGAGGCTGCTCTAGTGGATGACCATGTGATGCTGCCTGCCAGGAACATCGAGGCACCTGCCATGTCCACAGCCTGTCATGGTACCACCCACCATGGAAGACTTCCTGTTTCCTGTCCATGAATCCTTTCAACATCCACCTCAAGTCTCACCTACAAGAAACGTTCTCTAGCTCCATCCTATTTCCTGTTACCTCCTATTTCCTATATATACCAGAGAATAATTGCAAAAGAAAACACAGTGTCCTGAATTTGCACTGTTTCTCTCTTTTTCTCTCAGTCATGTAATGGCCACTAGTTCATTTCTGTTATCTATTTTTCAATGAAAAACTTCCACTGCATTTCAAAACTTCACCTATGTACTAGAGAAAGATGTCAGATTCTCAGTACCTTTAGTTTTGGAAATGAAAGAGAATATGAGGAAATATAACCACTTATCCCAATTTACTGGCTGGCCTGGCTACTTCCTGTTGCTCAGCACTTCCATTAATCCTGAGCACCACCACCAGGTTAACCTTTGTAAAATGTGGCCCTTGTCCTGCCATCCCCATCTTGCTGCCTAGAGAATGAGAGCCAGACGTTGTTGTCCAGGGTGCAAAGGCCCTCCCAGAATTAGCTGAGTGTGGTGGTGGGGGCCTGCAATGCCAGATACTCGGGAGGCTGAGGCAGGAGAATTGCTTGAACCCGGGAGGCGGAGGTTGCAGTGAGCCAAGACCACGCTATTGCACTCCAGCCTGGGTGACAGAGCAAGACTCTGTCTCTAAATAAAATAAAATAAAATTTAAAAAATGTAAAAAAAGGCCCTCCCAGTGTACTTCTCTCTGAGCACCAACCTTCACTCCACTGTGCACAGCCACTCCAGGGCTAGTCTCCTCTCTCCCTGAGCAAACCCACATGGTCTTTCACCTACATGTGCTCAGCTGGCTATTTCAGCTTGGAAGTTCCTCCTACTTCTATCTAAATCTTTCTGTCTGTAGGAGCCTGGCACTTTCATACCACTCACATCTACACTGCTTTTTCTTCTTTTAATCTTCCAGCATTTATTATTTCTATTCCTGATGCAACCGTCTTTGCTGTTGCCTAAGAGCAGAACGGAGTCCCACATGGCATTCGGTGCAATGCCCATGAAGGGGGTTGAATAGAAAACATCCCCTAATCTGGGAATTTTGGCCACACCCTGAGCCTCTGACTCAGATGCCTTTGGGTATTATCATTGCTGAGCTGTCCATTTTGCAGCACAGAACTTCCATTTGACCTGGATCATACCACTCCTGAGACTAGTAGAAACAAAGTAGAAAAAATTTGTTTGTATAAAGGCCTTTCTTGCTAGTTCAATCTGAATGCATGGAGAATTTTTGATCATCATTCTTTCAAAGCTTCCATTTGGCTGCACTCTGTGCCAACAAGTGAGTAACTATGATGGGAATTCACTGTTCTGGTTTACTTCTGACTCCCTTGTTCAGAGACTGAGGGTGAGCCAGGGAAAGTGTTCTTTTCTGTGTCCTAGAAAAAGAAATCATTCATTGCATTAAACTTCTACCCACCCCATTGCCTATTATGCTGCCACTTCATACATCTATGTCTTTGCAATGTTTCCAATGACTGTCCACAACTTTCTATTCCTTTCCTACCTGAATTCCAAATCCCTGTTCAGCCACCACAATTTCTATGGAAACTCCTCTGCCTCTCTTTCCTATCTCCCTCCCTCTCTTCTCTCTTGCTTCTGTTCCTTACACATATTGTTAGCACCTAGCATTTCAATGATTTTTTTCAGGTCTGCCTCACTACTGGACCATGCATTTAGTTCTGGTTGAATTGAGCATCTGGGATGTACAAAGTACTTAAGAAAAGGTTTTATAGGAGGATACAAAGGTTTAAAAAAAACTGTATTTGCCCTCCAAATAAACCGGCCATTTCACATGACATTTCAAAAGGCTACAAAAATTTGCATGGTTTTTCAATTATCCTAATATTCTAATACTTTTATTTTTTATAGACTTAAATCAGTTGGTCACCTTAGAATTGGAAGGAAACAATCTCAGTGAAGCCAATGTCAATCCTTTAGCTTTCAAACCTTTGAAGAGCCTAGCCTACTTGCGTCTGGGAAAAAATAAATTTAGAATTATACCGCAGGGTCTTCCTGGTTCTATTGAGGTAACAATATATTTTTTTAGTGTTTTAAATGTATTATATTTGAAATATGGTACACTACAACAAAATATATTTTAAGACTATTGTGATGTAAATTAAACTCTAGTTTCATGCTGTATACAGAATTTCCTGTAATTTAAGCATTGTTTTTTCTTCAAGCAATACAAAATTCTGAATCGAAATTATAATTACTAGTAGAGACACCTGATACAGTGAAAAATGGTACTTCTGATAGCTCTTGGGGGAAATGGGAGAAATGAATTGAGAATTTAAATGAAACCACAACTTCCATGAGGTACTCTGACTCTCAAGACAGTGTAAACTGCCCCAATCTAGAAATGTGACGCTTATCACAGAAGCTCAAACAGGTATTAACCGTAACAGAGTGTCCACTCACAAATTCCAGGCAAAACCACAGACACTCTGACCTAACAGTAACTTGCATGGATACAAGTGTTGTACAAAGAAGGCCTCTGACTGTTTCAGCAACTCTGTAGCTTACAAGTTTTCACCCAGTTCCTACCAAAACTGTCCTGTGACTAACTCCAGGCCCCAAACCCCAGCCTTGCTTCATTATCCTCTAGAGATGCCCCACAGGTCCCCAGATGTGTGGTCTCCTTGCTGCAGGATGTGCTCCTGGGGGTCTTTGGCTGATGAATGTCAACACCCCTCATTTCCTGCGTTAAAAACACTGAGGTGGACCGTGCAGTGGCTCACGCCAGTAATCCCAGCACTCTGGGAGGCTGAGGCAGGAAGATGGCTTGAGGCCAGGAGTTTGAGAGTAGCCTGGGCAACATAGTGAGACCTTGTCTCTAAAAGATATATTAAAAAAAAATAGCCAGTCATGGTGGTGCACACCTGTAGTCGTAGCTGCTCAGGAGGCTGAGGTGGAGGATCACTTGAGCCCAGGAGTTTGAGGCTGCAGTAAGCTAGGATCGTACCACTACACTCCAGCCTGGGCAACACAGAGAGACCCTGTCTCTACAAACCACACCCCACCCTGCCTGCCAAAAAGAACACTGAGGTCCAGAGAGTCTATACATACTGGCAGACCCCGTGGGAACCCAGGTTTCCTTACTAAGCTCCGTTTCTCCTAGACCACATGATCATCCAGCCAGAAGTCAGGATGGAGCATTCTCCGGCTGCAGCCCCAGCAAGCCAGAAAAGAGGGTCATCTATTGTGATCTTATGTGGCTGTCATGGCTACCACCCTTCCTCTTCTTCCTATTTCCAGATTAAGTGACAGAGTTATGTAACACTGACATTTATCAGTAGGCTGGCTTTCCATCAGAATCTCCTGGGTTCTTAAGAAATACAGACTCTTGGACCTACCCCAGATATGCTAAGTCAGATTCTTTGTGGGACAGGGCCAGAAATGAATAATTAAAAAATTAAAATTTAAATAGATAATGCATACACATGTTAAAACACATACATACACAATGAGGATAATACAAAAGAGCAATCTGCCCCACTGTGAGCCTGAGCTTCCCATACTGACTTCTCTCTCTCCAGAGGGATCCACTCCTACCAGTCTGGAAAGCACTGGGCATACAAGCGCACAAATGCGTGGCACATACTACAAATCCTTCTAAAGCCACTGCTGTACACCTGCCTCACTTAACCATGCAGCCTCAAGGCTGTCTCATGTCATTCTTTCCTACAGCTGCAGAGTTTTCAACATATGGACAGGTGTGCCAGGATTTATTTGACTAGTCTCTTACTGATCTAGCTCACCTCCTAAATACATATGCAGGTAAAAGCAAAAAGTTGAAAATTGTTTTACTAATTTCTAACAAATACCAAAATTAACAAAGAGGGAAATTCTCACAGGTGGAATAGAAGGTGACACTAAAGATATATGCCAGTTTTACCTCTGAATTCTAACAAGAGAACAAGGAGAATTTTTATAATGCAGATCCTTTAGTGAAAAACTCCCTCTAATGCCAACTAAACTTAACTTGAAGGCAGCTAGCTATTAAAAACTTATTAACAGTTCTAGAAAACTTCTCCTTGGTTGTAAATTAAGGCTGTTAATTAACTTTAATTAATTATAACAAAAGCAAATCTAAAAACATGAGCCTAAAATATTATAGACCACATGAAATAGTAGGAAACAGGCAGCCTGGGAGCTGGAGGCTCGGCTAGGACAAGCCCCTCTCAGCATTAGTCATGTAACCACGGGTGGGCTTCCCTGTCTCTCCAGGCCCAACTTAACTCCACTGGTAAGTAGAGATTAAAATATCTGTCTACTTTTCAGAGTTTTTAAGCCCAAATGAGATAATTTATGTGAATAAGTTTTATAAAATAGAGAGCCTTGTATAATTATTTTGGTATGCCATTTCTTGCAACATATTATAGCTAATACATTTTAAATAAAATTCATTTGATTCCATAACCATGGCAGTGTGTTTTATTTTACTAATTAGTTATAAAATTTGACAACTTTCCTGTAATTCCAGCACTTTGGGAGGCCGAGGCGGGTAGATCACTTGAGCTTAGGAGTTCGAGACCAGCCTGAGCAACATGGTGAGACCCTGTCTCTACAAAAAATACAAAAATTAGCCAGGCTTCATGGCGCATACCTGTAGTCTCAGTCACTTGTGGGACTGAGGTGGTAGGATCACTTGAGCCTGGGAGGTCAAGGCTGCAGTGAGCCATGTTTGTGCCACTGCACTCCATCCTGCGTAACAAAGTGAGACCCTGTCTCAAAAAAAAAAAAAAAAAAAAAGACAACTTAAAAATATGAGCTTACTTGAAAGAGCAGTAAGACTCTTTAGATAATACTAATGATAATAGTCTATGTCACTATTTTAGTCTCCATGAAATTGAACGTATCAACTAACACAAAAGAAAAATAATAGTCTTCTCTCTTAATTATAGGAATTATACCTAGAAAATAACCAAATTGAAGAAATAACTGAAATTTGTTTCAATCATACCAGAAAGATCAATGTCATTGTACTACGTTATAACAAAATTGAAGAAAATAGGATTGCTCCTTTAGCCTGGATAAATCAAGAGTAAGTACATGCTACAATTTAAATTTTATTGAACTATTTCTTCCTCTCGCTATTATTAAACAGAGTATGGAAACTGGGAATGGGATAAGTGAGGGAGGTGACGATACTGAAGGGCTCGGAGACAGAATCGTTTCTTAGTGAACCCTTACCCTATCCCCAAAGTGGGCTACTTCATGCAGTTTCCAACCTGTGCGCTGCATGACTGGTGTTAGGATTATTGCAGTAACTACTGTTGTTGTCACCATACTGCATACTGGACACCCTATCATATGCCAAGTGCTGAGCTAGCAAGAACTGAGCCCCAGCTGTCTGACTTCGAGGTCTGCCCACTAGTGGTCAAATGCCACTCTAGCTCTGTCTACCTCACAGGTTGTCAGGAGGTTTGAATGAAGGATTATTCCCCTGCACACAGTGAGAAAGAAATCTGCCATACTCCTTCTCCTCATCATCATTAGGTGGAAGCACCAGGCTCCAGAGCCCAGGCCTGTTCTCCTACACTACACAGCCTTCTTTTCTCCAAACTATTTCTTCACCTCAACTCTTACAAAATAGACTGAAGAATGCTTGGCCTAACAGTGCAGGCCAAAAGTAGACTCTGTCTTCCTGGACAAGAATCAGCAGCCTCTGGCTATAGCTTTCAGTGAAGGGGGAGGGAGTCAGAAGCAAGCCCTGCAGCAAATCCAGCAGACAACTGGGATCTGGGATTGCGTGTCCTGGAACTATGTGCCTAAGTAGCACAGCCTGGGACACGTGTCATTCAGAAGCAGGATGGAGAGGCCAATTGGGCTCAGCAGCATGTGGCACTGAGCCCACTGTAGGCAGAGAAGTCTTCATCAGGTGAAAAGAGGGCGTGGGGCAGAAGCCTTAGGAGACTCAGGTGGGGTTCCTGAAACAAGCCAGTGAGTTCACCACGTTCCCCAGATCTTCTAGATGATTAACAGCATTTTCTAGATTCCCTCAGGCTCGCCTCAAGTCCCAGGTGTGCCAGGTCATCAAATCAAATGTGGAATGAAAATGTAGGGGAAGGGGAACCAAAACAAGCCAAAACAAACCAAACTTCCTTGCTGGAACCAGAGACAACTTTACAGATAGGCATTTAGATGCATGCTGGGATTCACGGGATTTCATTTTGGATTCAACGCATCAACCGTACAGATATTTTAGTCTTTGGGCCTCAGTATTGCCTCTAGGGATATGAGTTTTTCCCTCCTAGTCTTTGATGCTCCTCTCGCATGGACTCACATAGCTGGGAGGCAGTATGGCACCCTGGTAAGGACATGCAGCTTGGTGCAAGAGACTAGGGCTGGCTATACCTGGAAAAGTTCCTATTTGGAATCATCACTACAAACTGGGTGCTTATAGGAAAATGGACCAGCATCGAGACTGGCCTTATCAAAATTTAGAGCTGATGATCACCATCCTGATGTCCCTACCCTGTTTACTTTTTTCTTTGCTGCAGAAATCTAGAATCCATTGATCTCTCCTACAACAAGCTCTATCACGTCCCGTCCTATCTACCCAAGTCCTTGCTGCACCTAGTACTCCTTGGGAACCAGATTGAACGGATCCCTGGCTATGTGTTTGGCCACATGGAACCAGGCCTGGAATACTTGTACCTGTCATTTAACAAACTTGCTGATGATGGCATGGACCGTGTCTCCTTCTATGGGGCATATCATTCTCTGAGAGAATTATTTCTGGATCACAATGACTTAAAATCTATACCACCTGGGATACAAGAAATGAAAGCACTACATTTTCTGAGGCTGAACAACAACAAGATACGGTAAATTTTGGCTTTTTCAAGTATCTGTTTAAATTTTGGTTGGCAAAATATATGATAAAACAACCATGACATGATCTCTGGGATTTACGTTAAGGGAAAAAAAAATGGTGCTAAGGGGTTGGATTAAACAAGATTGGCAAATGTTAGTAATTACCAAAGGTGGATGACAGGTATGTGAGGATTCATTATAAGCTTTTCCTACTTTTGCACATGTTTATAAATTTCCATAGTTAAAACATCTTTTGGTCAGGTGCAGTGGCTCACGCCTGTAATTCCAGCACTTTGGGACGCCAAGGCGGGCGGATCACCTGAGTTCAAGAGTCTGAGGCCAGCCTGGCCAACATGGTGAAACCTCGTTTCTACTAAAAATACAAAACTTAGCAGGGCGTGGTGGTGCGTGTCTGTAATGCCAGCTACTCAGGAGGCTGAGGTGGGAGAATTGTTTGAACCTGGGAGGCAGAGGTTGCAGTGAGCCGGGATGGTGCCACTGCACTCCAGCCTGGGTGACAGAGTGAGACTCCATCTCAAAAAAAAGATTAACAGATTATTATATATAACACTTAGAACTTTAGAGAGAGGTTCAAATGAGTCTTCAAAGCAATAGATTATGTTACTACTCCTACCTCCATGTATAAATAAATAAAACTAATCTATAAAGCATAAAACGTAAATATATGCTAAAATTAAAACTGCTTCTATCTAGTTTTTTCTGAAGTCAGATTTCTGAATACATTTATTAAGACTCACTTTCCCTACTTTTGGGAACACATTTTTCTGCATGTGTTCAGCTTATATACTGAATCATCACTCCTGCCTAGATGGCATGAGTGTCTTGAGAATTAATCCAGAATATTTTGTTAGTAAGGTCTTTATCATTGGCAGTGAGGGAGACAATAACCTTGTTGTTCTGTCCCTGAGAATTATGCCTCTTAGTCTTTCCCCTTCTCTAAAAGTCCAAATAAACTAAATGCCTACAAAGACAAAACAAAAACACAGAAAAGTTCGTGTTTTTAAAGGTACTGGAGGAAGAGATGGGGGTTTGGGAAGACTTTGTAAAATTCAGTTTCAAAATTTTTTGGCAAAAATACTTCACAGGTTGTGCCATATGCTTCATACTGCATTGCATCAGAAGGCGTCTAATGTTTGTCCCACCTTTTTTGATTCTAAAATTGATCACTGGATTGAAGTGGTCACAGCCTGGTATCTCCTAAGACAAATTTACTCCTCCATCATTGAACCAATGGTTTCACTCACAGATGAATGTTGTTTGAATTCTTATTTCATTAGAGGTAACAAAATGATGAATTTCTATTTTTGCCATGCTTCTCATGCTCATTAGCTGGAATTCCTCTGTAAAAAATTTTTTGCTCATCAACTAGGGCTGCTTTGTCACTTTGAAAGGAAAGAAAAAAGCTCAGTTCTTTCCTTTAAACCACCAGTGGGAGTAAGAAGTTGGAGCCTGAATGTTTTTGCTTTATTTTGTTTTAGGGTTCTCTCTTTTTCTGGTGAATCAATATATACTTAGGCTTTCATGTAAGCAGTTATGTTTCAATCAATTGCAGTCATCTGGACAATGGTCGCCATTCAAACTGGCTCTTGTGTCTGCTCACTTGCTTTTGGGCACACGTGGGCCTCAGGCTTACTTTCTGCATTACCTACTGCAGACCTTCCTCCAAAGAGCTTGGCCTCTTTCTTTGGGGAATAGTATTGAGAAGCCCCAAGTGGGAACGAGACGTGGTCCTTTCAATTGTGTTGCTATTGTTTTGAGGCCTTTCAGTGGACTGCCAGGAAATTCCGTATTTTGAAAAGAAAGTAAGTTCAGACTGACATTCCCAAATCAAATTTAACATAATTGAATATTAATTCCTTTTATTAAAACTTGTTTCTCTTACACTGAAAATCTAGGTTCCCAACAATATTAACTTGGATGATCTTACAATATGTAAACAATTGTTTCAAAATGACATCATTATTACTGCTCATAATAAAAGCTTGAAGTTTATTATTTTTTGGTAGCTCTATTTGTCTTTAGGATAAGTTCCACTAAAGAAGTACAGCTGAAATACAGTGGTTTCCTCTGTAATATGTCAACAACTTAATATTCAGACATGTTATTTAGTTTATTTTTGGTTTTTAGAAATTGCTCTTTTCTTTTTGAATTAATATTATTTTTGACTGTGTTAAATATTTTTAATTCCAAAGTCAAAACTGTGTAAGAAGTTGAATTAAGAGAAGTCTTACTTCTATGATTGTCTTTTTTTAATATATATATATTTTCTTTTTACTATACTTTTAGGGTACATGTGCACAACGTGCAGGTTTGTTACATATATATACATGTGCCATGTTGGTGTGCTGTACCCATTAACTCTTCATTTAATATTAGGTATACCTCCTAATGCTATCCCTCCCCCAACGTCTATGATTGTCTTTTATACACTATATGATCCTTCCCATAGGTTAAATTTTTAAATTTCTAGTTTATCCTTCCAGTATTTATTTTTGCAAACAAAAGCCTACATACATATACATATTTCCCCATCCCCATCCATAATTATTATACAAATTATTACACAAAAGGGCAGTTTTCTCTCTATATATGTCTTAGTCCAATTCTGATGCTATAAAGTAATGCCCAAGGCTGGGTAATTTATAAAGAGAAAAGGTTTATTTGGCTCATGGTTCTTCAGGCTGTGCAAGTAGCACGGCACTGGCATCTGCATCTGGTGAGGGCCTTCAGGCTGCTTCCACTCATGGTGGAAGGGGAGATGGAGTGTGTAGAGATTACATGGCAAGAGAGGAGGCAAAAAAGAATGGGGAGGTGCCAGACTTCTTTTTTTTTTTTTTTTTTTAAACAACCAGCTCTTATGGGAATTAATAGAACAAGAACTTACTCACTCCCCTGATCCTAGAGAGGATATCAATCTATTCATGAGTGACTTGCCCCCCATGACCCAAACACCTCCCATTAAGCACCACCTCCAACACTGGGGATCAAATTTCAACATGAGATTTGGAGGGGTCAAAAAAACCAAACCTTATGGGGTATGTGTATTTTTTCTACCCTTTTTTTCTTTTTTCTTTCTTTCTTTTTTTTTTTTTGAGACAGAGTTTTGCTCTTGTTGCCCAGGCAGAAGTGCAACGGCGTGATCTCAGCTCACTGCAACCTCGACCTCCCAGGTTCAAGCAATTCTGTTGCCTCAGCCTCCCAAGTAGCTGGGATTACAAGGATACGCCACCATGCCCAGCTAATTTTGTATTTTCAGTAGAGACGGGGTTTCTCCATGTTGGTCAGGCTGGTCTTGAACTCCTGACCTCAGGTGATCCACCCACCTTGGCCTCCCAAAGTGCTGGGATGACAGGTGTGAGCCACCACGCCCAGCCTACCCTTTACTTTTTAAAAGTATCAGTATATCACTCCCCATCAGTATGTAGAGAATTTCTTCATTCCTTTTCACAACTGAATATTATGCAGATATACTATATTTTATTCAATCAGTTCCGTATTGATAGACATGTGTTTCCACTCTTACTACTAAAAATAATGCCACAAAAGATAAGTTTGTATAAATGTCATTTTGTTTTTTTCCAGTTTAACTTTGGGATAAAATCCTAGGAGTGGGAATGCAGAGTGCAAAGGGTAAAGTGTGTATGTAATTTTACTAGATATTGCCAAATTCCTCTCCAGAGGTGGCGCACCATTTTGCATTCTCTTCAGTGGTATTTGATCGGTCCAGGCTCACTATTAGAATATGTTAATGAGCTTCTGGATTTTTTTTTTTTTTTGCAAACCTTATAAATAAAAAGTGGTATGCCAGTAAAGTTTCAATTTACATTTCTCTTCTGAATGAAACTGAGCATTTTCCATTTTCCTCCTAGATTCTTAGGAAGCCTTTGTATCTGCGATATAAGTTACTTTCTCCTTCTTTGTCATGTTGTTTAACTTTGCACTTTCTTTTTAAAACCTGCAGTAAATTTTAAATCTTTTCATTCAGTGCTTCTGGTTTTCAAATCACATACAGAAAGAATCTCCCGAGTCAGAGGGTGTGACCACAGTCTGTTCTAGTGCTTCTATGGCTTCATCTTTCACATTTGAATCTCTGACGTAGTTGGAATTTATTCTGGTCTATAAGGATCCAACTTTATTTTAAGAACAAAATTTTTTTAACAAATGTTAAACTTAACTCCTAAAGGCAGATTATTACTGGGACCATGTGTGACTTGCATGTCTATTTTTCCTTAGGAACATTCTTCCAGAAGAAATTTGCAATGCTGAAGAGGATGATGACTCAAATCTGGAACATCTTCATCTTGAAAACAATTATATTAAAATTAGAGAAATACCATCTTACACATTTTCATGCATAAGATCATACTCAAGTATCGTTCTTAAACCACAAAACATCAAGTAATTCCAAGTTTTCCTTTGCTGTTTATAAACTTTACTCATGTATTTGTAGTAGCTGCATTTGTCATTAATAAGAGAGACATAATCCTCCTGTTATACTCAGTATCATTATATGCTAGTCAACCTGATTCACTAACACACAGATGAACAACCAAAATATACCTAAAAGGTATAGTCTCTAGGAGTTTTATTAATAGTAAAGGTAAAATCTCTCAGTTTCCTACCTCTAGAAAGAGGCCATCTCACTAGAATAGGATATTATGCATACTGAGCTAGACCAGAAGAGTCTGGAACAAAATAAACACAGCCTTTATAATCAACTTGAATACTGGTGTTAGCTGAGAACTCTGTAAGTCCCTTTAAAAATTATGTATCTTTTGGTTCAAGATTAAGAAGCATAATGACAACAAAAAAAGCAGGCAGAATTTATGAATAAGTGTTGTTTATTATTAAAACAATAATTTGTTAATTTCTTATAAGGTCCTGTGCTATAATTACTGGTATAAATATAACTGAATATTGGGGTAGCTTTCATTTCTTCCATTAATTACATGTGTAAAATTAAAACACTACTGTAATGTTAATTTCCTGGTTTTGAAAATCATATTATGGTTATGTACATTGTTAACATTAAGGAAAGCTGGCAGAAGGGTGTGCATAAATTCTATACTCTTTTTGAAACTTTTCTATAATTCTAAAATTATTTTTTAAAGTTAAACAGTATATTAAGATTACCTTCACTATTCCTCACTCAAGATTAAGACATTTTTTGAAAAGCAGTAGAGTTTGCTTAAAATACAAATTAATTATTCTTGACTATAACCTTGTAAAGGTAAATCTAATGTATAAATTTTTGAAAAATTTTGCACCACTGGTCATAGCATCTATCTCCTTTGCCTTAATTTACTGAAATACATCATTTTATTCGGTTCAATTGAAATAAAGCTATGTCTTTACTATGTATTGGCCCTACCAAAATCATATATTAAAATTTTCTAACATAATGATTTTTATCTTTGTATTGCTAAAGTAATTTATAAGACACATATAGAAACTATGTTGACTTCTTTTGTTACTCTCAGTTTTATGTCTTGGCTAGGAACTTAAGTGCCAGTGTTGGCCTCATTGCATAGGTTTCTCTAATTTTTTAAGCTTTAGTTATTTAATCATTTAATAGTTCTTTCACCACTCTAGGAACCTTCCATCCCCACTTCACAAAGCTATTATAAGAACTAGAAAAGAATGTAAAGCATTTTGGAAAGTATGGTGTGGATGATGAATGCAGTTATTATCTCATATAAAACTGAGAGGAACCAGCATAGCCAACCACAATTGACAATTTCATGGGTGACTTTCAGTTTCATGAGTGTGAAAAGTTTGACTTATTCCATAATGTTATTATTATTATTTTTTTAGACGGAGTGTCACTCTGTCGCCAGGCTGGAGTGCAGTGGTGCAATCTCGGCTCACTGCAACCTCTGCCTCCTGGGTTCAAGCGATTCTCCTGCTTCAGCCTCCTGAGTAGCTGGGACTATAGGCATGCGTCACCACTCCCCGCTAATGTTTGTATTTTTAATAGAGATGGGGTTTTACCATGTTGGCCAGGATGGTCTCAATCTCTTGACCTTGTGATAAGACCGCCTCGGCCTCCCAAAGTGCTGGGATTATAGACATGAATCACTGCACCAGGCAAGACTTATTCCATAATGTTACTTCTAAGCCTACTTTCTTAATAGGTAGGATTCAGAGATTATAACATGAACAACAATAATAATATGAAGATAACTGTTAGACTCAAGAGTCAAAGACTTATAGCAGGTTGTTAGGAAGAAAACTAGAATTTTATGGAACAAAAGTTGAGCTTCATAATCAGTTTAGGAATGAAGGTGCATTACTAATTTTAAAGTGGCCAGGTTGACTTTAAGAGACAGGTAAAAACAAGAAGATAGGGTTACACATCCATTTAACAACCCTTGTGCAACACTTATTGATGTATGAATATAAACACATTGACATAAATGGTTTAAGGCAATCTAAGCTGTAAACAAAATTAGTATTAAAGGGGGCTCAAACTGAATAAGGTGAGTCAGCAGAACTAGCATCTTGGGATGACACAGAGACAGATACTAAACGATTCATTCATTCATTTCTTACTCTGACTTTATTCAGCTGTGTTTCAGATGCTGTTCTAGAGACAGTGACAAACAGATCAGATGTGGCCTTTCCTCTCTGGTAGAGGCAATAAGCAGGAAATCAAACAGACAAGTAAGCAGGCAAGTGCTGTGCAGTCAGAAAAATGGGTGACAATGCGACGAGCACACTGGGGCCTGAGGGCCGCCAGGAGACTACGGCCACCCTCAACGGCCTGGATTAACAGCAGATCCAGACCGGTGCCTGTGGAGCAGACGCACTGTGGGCTTGCTGTGTATGTCGCTTCTCAACTCTGCTCTGGCTGCAGAATCCCAAGAAAAAAATGAAAATCAGAATGACTGATTGAAGCTTTTTTCTTAAGTGGAAGTTGTACTTATTTCTACTGATTTTATAATTTTTAAAATATGGCTAGCATGGAACTTGTTCAGCCCTGAAATTTCATGATGTTCTAGATGGGAAGTTTTAATTCCATAAAAAAGTGATAAATGTCCTTATAGCAAACACTCTTCACAATATAATGTACTAAAAAACAGATGTTCTGTTTGGCTTCAAAAATTACACTATAATTACTAACACACATATACACTAAAGAAGTCCTGGTCTAGCCATGATCTAAAAATATTAATGGTGTGTCTTGTCTTTGTATATATATACAAGGAACAGTATAATTTTGAGATTTGGCTTATTATCAATAAGAATATTATAAGCAGCACTAAAGAAATTATTTAGTGAAAGACATACAGAACCTGGTATAATGAAATAACTACACCAGGAACCAAGAGACTTGGGAGCCCATCTTGTTCTTCAATAATTATGCAGTCATTTTACTTCTTTGGGATTCATTTGATTCAATTATAAAATAACATGTTTGGAACAGATCAGTGGTTTTCAGACAGGGTTCATTAGGGGTTTCATGTCACTGATAAGGAAGTGAACAGACCTCTCTCTTCAAACAAAGCAGCTTTGCTCTCATCAGAAAGTGTTCACTCCCATCCCCCTTTTCTTCTTACAATCAACAAACTAGGTACTATCTAAATGACACACTAGGTTTTAAAATCCATCAAGAACATGCAGCCTTCTCTTCCCTTTCTCCAGCTCCAGCTACATTCCTGGAGCATCCAGGCTGAAGAGGCTTGGCCTTAGGAAGAGGCTGCCTGTTTTTCCTTCTGAGCACCAGTGCAGTGGGGTGAGATTAGCCCTGAGCAGACTGCTGGGCCCCTGACCGCCTTAAATGGCTAGTCGACAAGCTTCTGTAGGAACGAGCACAGTGCTGCAAGCTCACCAACCTCCTTGCAGGGCAGGTGATGATGCTGGGGCTCAGTGAGGGCAGGTGGCACATGAGAACAACAGGGAATATGTGGCTGAGTCTGGACTTCCCCTGCATCTTCTGACTCTGAGGCTGGTGCTCCTCCTGCTGAACCAAGCTGTCTCTCCCTTAGAATTTGGATGGAAAGTCTAGGGGACCCAAGAGTGGCAGGCTGCCTAATAAAAGGTCCGAACCTGGGCGGCTGATGCTCAACCGGAGGGTATAGGGCATGTGGTATGGCAGGTGTTACCAACGAGGGGAGAAAGATACTCAAAACCACCTCTCCTTCAAATGGCATCATCAAATGGCTCCACGTACATCTCCTTAGAAGCCATTCTCATTAAGTCAAAGTTAATTACTCCGTAAGATGACTGCTTTCATTAAAACACAAAGAAACTACCCACAATGTTGTACAGTTGAAATATGCAC
This sequence comes from Homo sapiens, assembly GCF_000001405.40. Taxonomy (NCBI): domain Eukaryota; kingdom Metazoa; phylum Chordata; class Mammalia; order Primates; family Hominidae; genus Homo; species Homo sapiens. The sequence goes on along the minus strand of NW_025791788.1, from coordinate 327,159 downwards.
AGTGTCCTCTAGTTGTCACGGACACCTCCAGGGGTCATCAAGACGATTATTCCCACTCACACATAATTATTCCAGTAACTGTTTAATAATATGTAGTATAAATCTTTAAAGTGACTTGGAAATGTTAACAAATTATGACAATGTTTGTTTTAAGATTATTTTAGACTCGGCATAAGTATATGAAAATTTAAGCCACAAATTACAGGTATATAGCTAAAGGATAAAACCCCAAATTTTTGGCAGCATATTTGTGTTAGGCATAGTGCTTCAGGCAAAAATGGTTTCTCTAATTTTACTAATTTAGGTGGGGAGTAACAGAAGATGACTGTGATATAATACAGGATATAATTAACACTAAACCATACAACACATACACGTAGTTCAGAGGAGAAAGATCAATGGACCTTGAAACAGGAATGTGAATCAGTGAGGGAAGCAGATGGAGGGACTCACGTCTGGGCTTATTGGTCAGGAGTCTAGCCTCACTATGGCAGGAAAGGAGAGGCAAGACGAGGGCTCCTCAGGCCAGGAATTAGACCAGATTCAAGGCGATGAGAAATGCAGCATACCACTGAAAAATGCTGAAGCAAGAAGTGTTCCATGAAAGCAGCAGTTTAAGAAAGGAAAAAGAATTACTCACTGCAAAAATCTAGAGAGTGAGAGCCTTCACAGCACAGATACGAGAGACATCAAAAGGAATTCAGTGAATAGTTATCTTGTCAGATAAGGGGCACACAGAAAAGGGACCAAAGAAGAAACTGCTCTGATTCTCATAATGCTGCTAAGAAGTTGAGAGCCAGGGGCCATCTGTGAGAGAATGCTGAACTTGGGGTGTCACCATGGGGGTCAGGCAAGACAAGGAGAGGACAGTAAAGACGGGAAGGTATGAGGTCAAAGCTGAATGCACAGGCAAGGAGTATACCTGAAGGGGCCTACAAGAGAAGGGCAGTTGAGCCAATCTCTGATGGGCTCCGATCCTCAACTTCAAGGGAGGGACACAGAAGCCAAGTTCACTGCAGTGTCCATCTGACTTGAGCCTTTCACCTTACAGAGCCAGCTTCCAAGCACAGGATGAACTGCACCTAAAAGCCTAGCTCCTCAGGACCCCCAGCCCCACAAAACCCCCGCTATTCAGTGCCTGTGCCGCTACCCAGGACAGATCTGGTATTATTAGGTAGGTCTGTAGTGATTATCTCTTTAGTGTTATTAGTTAGGTCCTACATAATGATTATCTGGAATTATTAGTTAGGTATTGATTACTTTTTTGTGTATATGGGTGCTGTACAGTAGCTGGGTTGAGCGGTATAGCTTGTTTCTCCAAAAAGACTGTAAAACTTAACAGAGACAACTCATTTCTTAAACCCCTGAATTTGTGCAAAGTAGGTGCTAAAACGTCTCTTGAATAAAGAGTTCCATCTCCTTTATCTCCCAGTCAAAACTGGTTCAGCTTATGAGTTATATTACCCAAAGAGTTGATATTATCCAAAGTTGACATTACTCCTAAATAAAAAAGAAAGGAACCTGCAAAATTTAAGGATTTTCACAGAAAAACTTAGAAACTGAGCAGAAAAAGATTTATACAGGGTCACAAAAGTAAAAGGGAATCATTTATGTTATTAACATTTCTGACAAGGACCTCAGAAAGCTAAGTAAATTTTTTAAACAATTAAGTTATGCTTTGACAACTGGTAATACTTAGTAATCAATCTGATTGCTCTGCATAATAGCAACACTGACTATGCCTTCCAAAGCCATCATTTAAACATACCATAAATTACTATGTTCCTAAGATGCTGACTTAAAAGAATGAAATACTCAAATTCTGCTGTTGAAGTGAAACTTCCAAAGGGCGGAGTAAAACCCTTTATGATATTGATTCCACCTCTTTCCCTTATTTAGAAAAAGGATAGAAAATGTCCTCATGGCAGAAACATTTACAGACTGACAGATGACTGAACTATTTATCTATCCATGGTTGAACGTAAATTCAGATCCTTGATAGACTTAAAATTCAAAAATATTAAAAGTACCCATGAAAAGAAGTTTCTGCCCAGCTCTAACTTAACACCAAATGACCATTACAGGCCTTAAGCCCCCAAAGTCTGTGAAACATGGAGATTCATCTCTTGTAGTTAAAAAAACAATAATGAGTATCTTGGCTCTCAACTAGAATCAGTACTAGCCATGGACCTGGCCAAGTTACTTAGAGTTCTAGTTTCTTCGTGCACAAAATCAGGAAACAACATCTGCCTCCCAGGGCTGATGGGAAGACTAAACAAGTTGATATCCTGTGGAGGTGCTGGGCACAGGGTAGACATAATAAAGGTGAGTGTCAATGTTTCCAGGGACAGACTACAGGAAACTGGTGAGCAGGAAGTTACTTAACTCGCTCAAGGCTTCCAGGCCTCTGAGTGTGGTGAATATTAATTATTTAAAATAACTGATTTCTTAGATTGGTATTGAATATAGTGGAAAAAGGAGTGGGTCTAATACACTAAGACAGGGCTCTGCACACATGCTCTGTAAAGGGCCAGAAGTAAACCCCTTGGACTCTGTGGGCCAGTGGGGGTCCAGCGGGGACCCTGCAGCCTTGGCAACAGCGTGGCTCTCCTGAGGAGTAGGTGGGAAATTAACAACAAAACCTGAGTTTGACTGCCTTTCTTCTGTGTTACTGTATGATCATGTCCATGGCACGGAACAGAGTGAACCATGGTATACACGAACATCTGAGCAGGATCTCCAGGCTGAGGGAGCCAAGTGGGTGAGGAAACTGGAACTCAAAGAGTGTAAATGACATCTCATCATAAGATTAAAAAAAAAAATCCTGACCATAGGAAAGACAATTAAGTTTGATCTGTGTGATTCACTGTGATTACTTATAATACCTAAAAAGGGGGAAAATTGTATTTAAAACAGTCAGCCAAACTAGAGAAGTATCTGATCAATGAGCCTGTCCTATAAATGAATTCTTCCCTTAGAAATAACCGCTGAATGAGTCACCAACAGTATAGCAAGACAGTCTGCACTGGCAAACCCAGGCCTTTCCATCTGTAGCCCACATAGCAAACTTTGGGCAGAGGCTTCCCTAGCAAGTTTGTTCCTTTCCTATTCATTTCTGGCCCTACGACCATCAGCTCAATTGAAACTAGTCCAACAGAATCAGAGGCATTTGTAAAAGGTTTTCAGAGGAAAATCTACTGTAAACTGTGTAATCCTGAATTAGTCCATGTTTGATTCTACATGTCTTAAATAAGGCTTCAGCTTATGACATGTCTACAAGGTGAACAGGAGCATTCGAGACTGTAAGCCCGGCTGGATTTCAGTCTGTCACATACTGTTATTTGTAAAGGAATAAATGTTCTAAACTCAGTAAGTAAACTTTAGTGGTGATACAACTAAATCATAAAGGCATGACCATTTCTTCTGTGAAGTTATGTTCCCTTTTCTGTATGAAAATGGATAAAATCAAAACTTAGTCTAGCATATTTTTTCCTTTGTATAAAATGTGAAGAATGTGAATCCACACAAGGGAAAGCAGGACTGTATTAAAAATAACATGTGATTACACTAAATACATATTAGTTTGGAAAAGAAAAGGAATACATCATGTTATTAAAATGTCCTGGTGTGTTTCTAAGTAACAGAATCTCTGTGGTCAAATAAACTTACATTAAACTATCAATTGATATAAGCAAATCTTTTTATAAGTTGTAATCTGCTGAAGGTTCATTGTTTTGCCTAAACTGGGAATTACATTCACAAACATCAAATTTATATGTGAATCATTTGGAAAGTGAATTTAACTAGTATTGTGACACTAGGAATAAAGAATACATTATAAACTGTAAATCTATTCTAGGGCAGCAGTTCTTAACTATTTGAAGGATGGACCCCTTAGAAAATATGGTGAAAGCTATAATGGATCCTCTATGCAGAAAAATACATAGATAAAAACACTTGGCATGTATCAAAAGACTCATAAAGTCTTTCCACAAATTCTCTAAGTATTCATATACCCAAGTTAAGAATCCCTGTCTAACGTAACATCTTAATTAACTTAAAATAAATTTGGCGGTAAATATTTCACTAGAGTGAAGGATAAATCAAAGAGTTAAAGTTAATTTAAGGCAAACTGCCTTATCTGCTCCAATTATTTAGCATTTATTCCCCCTTTATTTGGTAATATTTTCAAGGCCACAGAAAAGTTTAAGTTCACAATGAGCATCTACATACCCTTCACTTATATTCACCAATGAATAATACAGATGTTCCCTGACTTATGATGGGTTACACCCTGATAAACCCACCGTAAGTTGAAAATATCATAGGTCAAAACGCATTTAATACATCTAAACTTTATCTAATGTCATAGCTCGGCCTAAGCTAGATACATGTGCTCAGAATACTATATTATTCTTCAGTTGGCAAAATCATCTAACACAAAGCTGATTTTATAATAAAGTGCTGACTAGCTCAAGTAATTTACTGAATGCTGTACTGAAAGTGAAAAACACAATGGTTGTATGGGTACTCAAAGTACAGTTTCTTGCTATCGAGCAAACTTTCACTTAATGGTTTTATATGTTTATTTATTTTTTGAGACAGGGTCTGGCTTTGTCACCCAGGCTGGAGTGCAGTGGTGTGATTGCTGAAGCCTCCACCTCCCAGCCAAAAGTGATTCTCCCACCTCAGCCTCCCCAGTAGCTGGGACTATAGGTGTGTGCCACCATATATAGGTGTGTGCCACCATGTCTGTTCTATTTTATTTTTTGTAGAGACAGGATCTCACTGTGTTGCTGATGCTGACTTAATTGTTTTAGCTTCCCTTGATTATCTTTCCTTAAATCAATTATTATATTGGAGGTTTCACTGTGGTGATTTTCTGTTATTCCTTCTGCATTCATTAGTTGACATTCTTCTGTAAGGAAAAACTCTGATCCTTTTAACCCTCTTTTCTCTGTTATTATAAAAAGGATTTAGTATTGTATGTGTTATAATCCAGTTTTTATTCTTTTTGAGATGCTCAAACTGCCCCTTCATGGTGGCTTCTATGTTCCTTTTCTGAGTCCTTGGTAAACTCTGCAAACTTTCACACTTCTTGGTACAAGAAAGCTTTTTCAGAAACCTTTACTTCTCTGGCCCAGACCTGTTGTGGGCCATTTCTCCAAGGAGTCCTGGTTCCCTTAGTGGGAAACAGTATTTAGAAACACAGATCTGGAAACCAGATGTGCTCACTGCTCTCAGGTCTGCTCAGTGGAAAGAGGTAAGAAATTTATTTAAAACAAAACCATTACTTGTACAGATTCCTCAAAGCAAACTGACTTCAGACATTCATTAAAAATATTTGACACAGCTGGGTGTGGTGGTGCACACCTGTAATCCTAGCGCTTTGGGAGGCCGAGGCGAGCAGATCACCTGAGGTCAGGAGCTCCAGACCAGCCTGGCCAACATGGCAAAACCCCATCTCTGCTAAAAATACAAAAATTAGCCAGGCGTGGTGGCCTGCACCTGTAATCCCAGCTACTCAGGAGGCTGAGGCAGGAGAATTGCTTAAACCCAGGAGGTGGAGGTTGCAGTGAGCTGAGATTGTGCCACTGCCCTCCAGCCTGGGTGACAGAGCAAGACTCCGTCTCAAAAAAAAAAAAAAAAATTGACACATGCAAAATATAATAAACAAAATTGTATAAGTCCTTCATTTTTCATAAATTCAACGGAATGAACATTTAGTGACAATTTATTATAATTCATTTTTCAGAACTAGAAACTTCAAGTAGGATGACAGAGTGAGCTCAGCCACATGACACAGCAGAAGCCAGTCCCTGCAACAGGAAGAGCTGTGAGGAGAGGGTAAGAGGAGGTCAGGGCAGCAGAGAACCATGGAGGGCCTACGTGCTCAGCAAATTGCTGCTACATAGGACATCAGGGTCAGTTTTTCCAGCTCATATTTTTCCAAATACATTGTAAATTTGGACTTCGATATCAAATGTCCTGGTTTTTAAAAATACTATATGCTCCAAACAATCTGCATGTTGAATACTGCCCCTGGGTCACAACCTACAGTATAAAATAAGTTCATTAGAAACCGAAGTGCCTAGTCCACCATGAGGGACACTTGAACATTAAAACTCATGAAATCTTAATCACTTATCCCTTCACAGAAGCTTTTTTAAGCATCTACTATACAAAAAACCCTATGTTATGCATATTTACATCCTAGAATTCAGTGGCCTAGAACATTCTTAAAGTGGGTGTTTGCATGGCACGGCTAACTCCCTCACAGCCCTCAGGTCTTGTGACTGTCACCTGACAGGGAGGGCACCCTTGACACCCCCACCCCTATCCTGCTTCTCTCCATAGCACTTACACTATTTGTTGAATGAATGGATTGGTGGACGGCCTTTCTTGTAGCTACTACTATAAAAGAACATTGTACAATCTATTCCAATTCATTTAGAATGTGAAGGACACCACAGACTGGCAAAAGAACATCAGAAAATTCAAACTGCCTACTTTTTTGGCAGGTGTGTGTGTGCCCCACAATATACTCCTGACACATGCTGCTCCTATAGCTCCTGCCTCACCTATCAAACCTTTTCATTTGGGCTGTGTGCAGGTGGTTCCCACCTGTAATCTCAGCACTTTGGGGGGCCGAGATGGGAGGATTGCTTTAGCCCAGGAGTTTGAGGTATGATTGTACCACTGCACTCCAGCATGGGTGACAGAGTGAGACTCTGTCAATCAATCAATCTTTTATTTGCATGAGACAGTTTCCAAGGTCCTCCCCTGTTCTTATTTGTGTTTGGACTTTGACCACTGTTGTCCATGTCTAGACCAGGAGAAGTTCTAGAAAGGGTGTGAGAAATCATACGAGAGCTTAGATTAGGCAATTTATTTTTATTTTCACGATGGTTAGCATATATAAGGCCAAAGGAAAATAAATTTGCATTAAAGTTCCTTTTATGGCAATCAATATTTTTATTCATAAACTGTCAGTACTGAGAATATTACTTTTTCAATTTTGTAATTTATCTTTGTGTTTGCAACATGTAAATTACTTGTGATTCCTAAATATACTGTTATAATGCAACTAGTTCTTCAATATTTAGACTAAGGCTCAATGAGGCAAAAATAAAACAATTTAAAAAGCATGGAGAAAAGAACTAGGTCCCCTCCATAGGACCCCTTTAGGAAACAAAAATGGAAGATTTTTCTCTTCACAATACTTGAGGGAAGAAGAGGTACACTGTTTCATTTGGAATGATAACCTGGAAAAGGGTGGAGATAAACTCCAGTTTCTTCCCAGATGGCACGTTCGTGCCTGCTGCACCATCTCTGGCAAATGTGAGGCAAAGCTTTCCATGTCACAGCCCCAAGATGGTGGAGGGTTGTGCCTGAGGCCTGCACCTTTACCACATTATCTGCAGAACAGAGTGAATAAGCCAAATATACTACCCCTAACCCCAGCATCTTATTCCAGGGCCTATTTCTTTCCCTAGGCCCTCTGACCAAAGATCGAAGCAAAATATCAGAGGAAGACTAGCTTAAGTCTCACAGTGGGGAGAAGGAAAAGTAGCTGTAACATATCTTTAGAAACACAATCTTACAGGAACTGCCTCTCAACTCTCTAGATATGGGAGGCAAAACTGCACCCAGAAAGGCCATGCAGGCAACTCGACTGAGGAGTGCCTTGGGTGGGTGACGTGGACAACATCCTGTGAGTATAGAAGAGAAAAACACAAGTCCCAGAGACAACAGTTGCCATGCAAAACCAGAAATCACAGACTGGGAAAGCCTAATTTTTAAAGAGAAGTTGAAATCTTATTTTTAAATACAGCAATTTCACCTAACAAAAATACATACACATGACCCCCAAATGACAGACTGAGGAACGTTCATAGTACCTCTCCAAAAGGTAATTAATCTAGTTGAATATATAAACAATTTGTGGCTTATTCATGTATGAGAATACTATACAGTGACAAGAATGAACTACTGTGTATCACAATGACACGAATGGATCTCAAAAGCATGTCACTGAATGAAAAAAGCCAGATGCAAAAGAGAATGCACAGTATGATTCCATTTATATAAAGTTCAGGAAATAACCTATGGTGCTGAACTCAGGCTGTGACTTGAGGAGTAAGAGGAGGGATTCTGGATGTATGAGAATGGAGTGTGAGGCTGGGATTTCTTGATTGGGGTCATTTTGTAAAAATTAATTGAGTTGTACCATTATGATATGTTTTTTTTTGGTAACATACACTTCAATAAACAGTTCAGAAACAAAACATTGTGCAGGACAAACTGAATTTGACCCAAGGGCTTCCTGTTTATGACTGTGTTCTGAAGGAATTTAGGCAAACACTAGATGCTCTGGATACAAAGATTTTAAAAATCCAGTTCATATTTTCATTATGTTCCCAATTCATCCAGTTAACAGATACATTTGCAACTGAAATATACTTGAATAAATGAGAATATGAGCATTCTAAACCAAACAGGAGGGCCGTCATTCCCTAAGGTGCTGCAGGGCTAGGATGGGGCCTGAGTTACAGAGGGCCACTAATGGGACTACCGAGCTGCCTGGAACTGTCAGCCTAGAGGTCCAAGGAGGAGTACTTTATTTAAGTGAGGGGAGGATGAACACATAGCCAGCTGCTATGCACATCTGAGGCACATGTATTCTTTAGGACTGTAGCTGCCTTGCTTAACACAATGTGTGCCATTTCTCTGGAGAGAGGGAACAAACGATGGTCAGACTCTTGATGACAGTAGAGAACAGGTCTTCTAACCCACTGGAAAAGCTCTTTGCTGGCCTCCAAATCTATACAACAGTTGGGAAGAACCATTGGGGTCACTTACAACAGTAAGTCCTTGCCACTAGGGTTAGAAAACTGTCCTCTCAGGCCGGCCATGGTGGCTCATGCCTGTAATCCCAGCACTTTGGGAGGCCGAGGCGGGCAGATCACGAGGTCAGGAGATCGAGACCATCCTGGCTAACACAATGAAACACTGTCTCTATTAAAAAACCAAAAAATTAGCCAGGCGTGGTGGCGGGCGCCTGCAGTCCCAGCTACTCGGGAGGCTGAGGCAGGAGAATGGCGTGAACCTGGGAGGCAGAGCTTGCAGTAAGCCAAGATTGCGCCACCGCACTCCAGCCTGGGTGACAGAGTGAGACTCCGTCTCAAAAAAAAAAAAAAGAAAACTGTCCTCTCTTGAAGGTCTTAGTTGATGTAGAATTGGGCAGTCTCTTGGGGATGAGTGGAAAGGGGGTACAAATAATGATTTATTTTCAGGAAATAGCATCTTCCCTGCTCTAAGTCTCCCTAAATGTCAGTGAGGCCATAGCTAATATTCTCTTGAAAAGGGAAAGTTGTATGCATCCTAAGAGGGTGTTACTTGGACATGCATGTGTGTCTGTGTTATATCACATATGTTGAGTCCAGGGAGCAGTTCATGGAGCCTCATCCATAGTTTCCCTGACATGCTATAGCAGTGCTAAAAGCTTAAAAAAAAAAAAAAGTCTGGAGAAGTATGCATAATGCAATAGCTACAGTCATTAGAAGAAAAAAAAAGTATGGTTCTTTCTCAGGTACATCTGAAGTTTGGGTATATACTTCAGTAATGTTGGTATCCTTTATTCAGATTGATAAATATTTTATTAGTCTATACAGGTTGAGTAATTTTTGAAATTGTAATTTACAAATATTCATTCACTTAAGAATCTAATATTTTTAAAACTAGGTATTTCTTGAATGACTCCGACTGCACTTTCAATGGCCAGTTGCCATGCATTATTAAACTTTCTTTTTTTTTCTTCTTCAGAATCTTCCAGTAGACGTCTAGAGTTTAGCTAGAAGTCTTGGCTACGATACAAACAGTGATGGAAAACACATGAGCAGTAACAAGTTTTAATCTTGCTCCTCAGTACTAACATGGACTAATCTGTGGGAGCAGTTTATTCCAGTATCACCCAGGGTGCAGCCACACCAGGACTGTGTTGAAGGGTGTTTTTTTTCTTTTAAATGTAATACCTCCTCATCTTTTCTTCTTACACAGTGTCTGAGAACATTTACATTATAGATAAGTAGTACATGGTGGATAACTTCTACTTTTAGGAGGACTACTCTCTTCTGACAGGTATGTTTCATGTCTATCTTACAAGTATCGATGTATACTTTACAGTCAATACTAAGGAGACATTAATGTTATTAATAAATGCTTATAAATAATAGGATAAAGTCCAAAGTTTATCTCTATAATTTCTTAAAAATCAGCATTTAAATACAAACCTAAATTTGTACCTAAAATTATTCTAGTTTTATGTCTTACCTATAATGAATGTATTTTAAATATAATTATGTGACTTTTTTTTTCAGCTAAGTGAAAACCTGTCATTATGCCTTACCATAAATGTTAACATGATTGATTTTAAAAGTCATCTAAATAAACATCTTGTATGTTTATCTAGGAAAATAACATTGCTATAATAATGATCATGAAGTTTGGGGATATCACAGCTATATTAAATGAAACAGTAAATATATTTTTCAATATTTAAAATATTTTCTAATGTGTATTTAAAATGTGTGAATTACTGAAATGTCAATTTTACTTATACATTTGAATATTCATTTTTTTCCTTGATAAATGTCTTCCTTATTATAATGAAATGGCACTGAAAAGTTCAAATGGAAATCTATTCAATTCCAAGAAAGAATACTTATCAGCAATAGTTTAGCTAGCACTATATTCAATATGAAAGATTAGGAAATTTTCACAGCATGTATACAGTCAGAATTTAACACTTTCAAAGATTTCCTTTGTCTACTCCCAAAGTAAATTTCTGATTAAATTTTAGATTAAAAAATTTAAGCAATGTATTCAATATTCTACTCCCTAGTAATCTAAATAGCGCACAGCATTCTTTCATGTTAATCTATTCAGAGGTGTGGCACCCAGGAAACAGTGGCCACATGGTGTAGGGACTGAGTCATAAAGAACCTGAGGGGGTTGTATTTCCCTAAAAATAAAGTTGTTTAAATCCAAGAATCAAGCTGTTAAAAGAAAGAAATGAAAAAAGAAAGAAAAATCGAGCACAAGCCCACACACATAAAAGGATCCTGATGTTTTTAGTTTGTTTTTTGGCATTAAGGAGTATAGTGCAGTAGTGGAAAGAACAGAGGATATATAGTCTTCTGTTACAACTAACTACTCAATTAAAAACAAATATTCTGATAACTGATCTGAGGTTTGAGACAAAAACAATTAACTTTACAAGCACAAGTCTTGAGGCACTGTGGGAAACATCATAAAAATGGAGAGGCAGTAGATTTTGTTTTTTAAGACAGTAGCTTGATTGCTAGACATGTGGAGAAATTAATGAAGGGCAAAATTAGTATAAAAGGAAGAACAGCTAGAATGCTTTGTCAGAATGCTAGTTATACTTCTAAGGTAAAATTAACTACTTTTTAAGGAAAGTGCTATCTTTATCAGTATCCATGAACAAATGGTACTGTGAATAAGTTTCCAAATGCATGTTGGACTTTTAACTCATTTGTTAGCTTACAAGACTATGCCTTGATTACATCTGAATTTGGTTTGGATTCCTTCGGTGAAATATATGGAGTATGTTATATCACATTTATATGCTGAAATCTGCTACTGGTACCTGTGAACTGATAGGCATGTTTAAACCCAGGGGAAAAGTTGCCAAGCGGGCCTTTAAACATGGGATTTAAAAGCACAGTGACTTATTTACCTAATAATAGTGTCTGAGAGGAAATACCATTTCACTTAGATAAACTTTCTAAGTTTGTAGACCAGTTAAATGGAAACAAGAAAGCTTATGTGCTTCTTAAGCTTTATTTCCAGTCCATATGTTATGAACTCTTTTAAGAACTTGGCCAAACCTCCTTACCTAGGCTTTTCCAGAGGAAAGTCTGTTTACTGTCTGGAAGTAACTATGAGATTAAAATCCATTTAGGAGGACATGCAGTCTAGTGCAAAGCACAACCAACAAGCAGTGAGGAAGCCAGCCCTCAGCTCCACCACCTCCAGCCAGTTCTGGACGCTCACTGCCTCTGCTTTTTCTCAGTAAAAGAGGGCCATGGGGGGAAAGTCTCAAAGACCTCTCTTAGCTCTAGGCTACTATGATTTATTAGTAATAGCAGTAGCACTGGAAGAATACTCCAAACACTACTCTGATTAAGAGAGACTTGAAACCAAAATCCAAAGCTTTCCATGAGTGGAAAACACTGGCAAAACTGGTCTAAATCAGGGAAATATTGAGTATTCCTGAGAAGAAGATTTAATATTTTTAAAGGGTTTAAAAATAGAGTAACCTGAATACTGCCAAAACTAATAAAACAGAGGTTGTACCTCATTAATAAACTCAAAATAAAACAGCCAAAAGTCATATCATTTTAAATGACATATAATATTCTCTACATTCTTTCTGAATAATAAGAAAAAAATACTGCTATCTAGGGTTCTCTCCTAGACATTCCATTATTTTCCTATTGGTAAACAGTTGCACACTGAACTGGGGGAGGTTTAGGACCTATACTTGATTGTACTTATTAACAAAGCAGTGGAAGAGACCCAGCAAGAGACTCAGGTAAAGAGTGTAAATAATGAATTCCTCATGGTATCAAGGTTGGCCTGACTTTTTTCTTTGCAAGCAACCAGGATACACAAATGCAAAAGATTAGATTAATTGTAAAAGGCTAACAGAAGACAGAACTAGCAGAGAGAAATGAATTTTCCAGAAGGCATTTTTGAGTTTCCATATAAAGACTTTCCTAACAGCCATGGATGGACAACTGTGGAAGATGCTGCCTTGAGGTAGTATCCTCTCCCTGGAGCTATTCAAGCAGGGTGGATATGCTCCCTGTTCCAGAATGTTCTGGAACCTTCACCACCAGGAGGAACTCCTGTTTCAAAGGTCTTCATCTCTTATTCTCCAGGAAAGGGCCTAACTACTATATAAAAGTGGCTGCCTCCACTGCTCAGCAACTGGAATGCTTCCCAACAGCTAAAGATAATGCTACTGCCTAAAACTTGCAGGCAGAAGTCTCCATTTCATATTTTAATTTTACCGCAGTTTTGATTAAAGGCAGGGAGGGTCTCCTGTAACTTATCAGTCTCAGAAAGAGGAGAGACAAAGGAAGGGGCCCCGGCTGATGCTTCTCCTGATGCCACTGGGGGACTGGTCAGCAGCCCTGAGGCAGGGATGTGGAAAAAAGCAGGACCACTACTGTTCTGCTCCCTGCCTTCCCTGCCCTGTGTGCCTTCTCCTTCTCCTCTCAACTCTCAGTTCTGCTCCTCATACCTGATCCAGTTCCTCATCTCGAACCTCAGCTCAGTACTGGGGAAGCCTCTCTTGACGGTGGCACGAGGCTGAAGGCATCTGGGAAACCATTACGTGGTGTGCAAAGGAGCTGAGGCCAGTCCTTGCTCCCGCTGCCAGGCCACAAGGAACACCACGATGTGTTCTTGGCACCCCACTTTGGATCTCTAACACATTCCTGGTGTTTTACTTTTTTTTTTTAAGTTCCATAGTTTTTTTGTTTCTACATTTTGGATATATTATCTGTTAAATAGGTTTTTCCGGTCCAGACTGGGAATCTAAAGCCCATTTGGTTCAAAGATTCTATGGGAAAAAACTTAAACTAAAACATTCAGGCTGGGTGCAGTGGCTCACACAGTGGCACACTTTGGGAGGCCGAGATGGGTGGATCGCTTAAGGTCAGGAGTTCAAGACCTGCCTGGCCAACATGGTGAAACCCCATCTCTACAAAAATATAAAAAATTAGCCAGGCATGATGGCACATGCCTGTAATCCCAGCTACTTGAAGGCTGAGGTGGGAGGATCACTTGAACCTGGGACGTGGAGGTTGCAGTGAGCCAAGATGGCGCAACTGTACTCCAGCCTGGGCGACAAAGTGAGACTCCATCTCGAACAAACAAACAAACAAAAAACCCCAAAAAAACAAACAAAAAAGCACAATCAACCAACTTAAAAAATAACCTTGTCAAAATCTTCATTTCCCATTGACCAGAACAAATAGGATTAAGCCTCAAGAAATTGTGAACCCCAAAACAATTTCCCAAGTAGGTGCTATTGTTTGACTTTTGGGTAGAAATAGATGAGAATAGTGTGTATGAGAAACCTTTGATTACACCAATTCCTACCAAAAGTGGTAGGAAAAGACAGCAGTATATGCAGAAATAAAGCAAAGAAAATTCTGTTGGCGGACTGACATTTAAAATATTTTAAAAGCAACATAATTAAGAAACTATGCATGGGAAGAAAAAAAAAATGCTTTGCTTATAATCCCATTATCCCTCTTACCAGGTTTGTACATTCTATTTCAATCTTTTTTTCATGTGAATATATGTTTTTATAAATGTCTTTAGTTCTATTGGTCTCAAACAGTAAACTGAGGGTTATGCGTAGACAGACACGGTGAAGAATTTTACTTTCAAAGCTCTGGGTACCACACATCTAGTGTTAAAGCCCTACACCCCTGTTCCTACCCCATAAGTCACAGTATATACAGTTTACATTGTCTATTTACTAATCCAGGCATTTTATTTTTTAGTTTTTCTATTAATGTACCTGACATTCAAGTGTTAACTTTACGATCTCGTATTACCTGACAGTAGTTGATTAGGAGTTGCGGGTTTTTTATTTTTGAGTAGGGAAGTGTGGGAGAGAAGAGGATGGGGAGGAAGGTGTGCTCTACTTTAAGAAATTCAGCATTCTGACGAGTGACACTGCATGGGGTACAGTGGGTGCTTGGTAAATGCCCACTGAATAACTCCAGCAACCTCAAAGAAAGCCAGAAACAGGACCTTAAATGACATTATAATTCTATAGCTCCTTGTTGCCAAGGTCAGACAAGGTCAAGGGCAGCTATGCACCTAGAAGACAGAGCTGTAATGCAAGAATGTTACAGAATAAACTGGAATCAGGGGCCAACTTTGATTTAGCTAAGGACCAAGAGCTGAATTTTCTAGGGAATGAGTATTTTGAAGGTTGAGGCAAAGCTGGGCACTAAACCTTAAGGAGTCAGGAGCCACACAACAGCCCTAAGTCAAAACACATAATGAGTCAAAGTTAGACAGACAGCAAAGGCACAGAGACAATGTGCCAGGGACAAAGTGATATTGAGAAGGAAGCCCCCAGTAACCTTTACCAGGACCCCATACAGCATTCACAGGATGACTGGAATACGAAACATCAACCTGCCTGCCAGCAGGGACACCCCATGCCTGCTACAGAACAGTAGTCAGCCACAGTTGGTGATTTCCACCTGGGGCTCTCCAAAAGAAGCCACTGAACCCTGTGTTGCCAGCACAATCTCTCACCCAGTACTACACAAATCTGATCACACAATCATTCTGTTCTCTACCTTCCAATCCAAGCTACACAGGTGCTTCTTTATGTACAGATGTGTACAGAACAGTAATTTGTATACTGGTTAGATAAGAAAAAATGACAGAGTATGCCCATGAAGCCACGAGATTTCTGGATAAAACAACTGAGTCCCCCCACATGAGCTGGAGCAGAAGGCAGCACAGAACAGGGAGTTGGGACACATGAGCCCTAGCTCTGGCTCCATTTATATTTGGTAGGTGACTTTGGGCAAGTCACTTAAGCTCTTTACGCCTCATTTCCTATGAGGGATGAGTCTAGAATAACATCTGAATTAACACCTCCACAAAGTAGTGTACAGATGGGAGGCTAGGGCTAGTTTTGAAATTGGAATCAGCATAGGATTATTAAAATATAAAAAACTCTTGCCATTCTCAGATCTGTCCTGTAACCTCCTTCCTAGCATAAGTTAGTGTGGATTATCACAGGAATATCACACATACCTGACCAGTGCCATCCAGCTACCCAGTGGGCAAATGTTCATGCCACCATTTAGATTTTTGGAGCATATGAGAAATTAAATAAAGTAATTATCAGGTTAATAACTAATGACAGTAGGACATTCTAGCCCTCGTCTGGTGATTAAAAAAGACATACCATATATAAATGAAGATATTTATTAAGTTAATGAATTCATTCTTGATTTTTAAATCCAGGAAAAAGCAGGCCCATGGAGAGATGTTAAAGCTGATTTTTTGGTTCTGGGAAATTGCAACCAGTTGGGATTTGGAGGGGTAGGTCTTCCCGAGGCTGGGCCAATCCTGGCTGACTATAGAAGTCTTTTGCAGCTCAGCTGCTCTCTGGCACTCGGGCAATGGCAGGCCTGGAGGACTATTTAGGTGACTGTAGCCTGGTGGACTATTAGGGTCTGCGGAGCCCTCTGCTGTGGTGGTGAGTGGATGCCCTCCTGCCAGGACTCAGTTTCACCAGTGAGCATCTCTAGGATGCATCTATTTTGAATAATTTCATAATGTTTTTAATTTTTGAAATTTTCAAAGAATATACACATTTCACAGGTAATAATTTAAAAATTAGGATATGTAAATATGGCAATAAATCTATGCTCTGAAGGTTCTCATTTGTATAGTTCTGTTTTGTGTGCATTTTAAAAATGCAACTGAAAACAACCTGGCCCCCCAAAAACAAAACAAGCAAACCGAACTCAGTGGAAAGATGAGTAAGAAAGAATAGTCTGGACATCAGACAGTTTGGATCAAATATTAGACAATGGAACAGATTAGAAGGAAAAAGATACCAATTGTGGAAAAAGTGACCAACTATGAGAGTGAGGTTGGGAAAGGTGGAGAGAAATCAGTTAAGGAAAAATTCCAGATGTTGTCTAAGGAGACAATGAAGATATTCCTCCTTCAGGGACACTGAATACATTAAGGCAATAGAAAGATTTTGGGAATACAGAGTTAGGTAAGATAATCTGTTTCTGTTTTTACGATGTTTATTAGCTTTTTCATTATAAAGGTAATACTCATTGCTCATTATGAAAGTTAAAGGAAAAAGGAAAACACAAGTCATCTATGGTTCTAGTGCCCAGAGTTTATCATCAATCAGGTATATTCCTGCCAGGTTTGTTTTTGTTTGTTTATGAGTGTTTGTAAGTATACAGTTTATGGATTTTTTATATTTGCTTTTTTTTATTTCACAAAAGATAATATCCCATATTTAAAAGTGTCTTTGCAAGCATTTTGTGGGTTCCAAAATATTTCATGGAATAAATATACTCTTTTATTTTACTATTCCCCTTTAACCATTATATAATTGTCTCAAATATTTCTGCTATTATAATTCTGTGATGAACATCTTTGTGCACTTTAGAAATGTTTCCTGAGACTAGATTTTAAAAAGTAGAATTACTATCTGAAAAAGAGATATTTTTAGAGTTCCCAATGCACATTGCTGAATTGCTTTCCAAAAATCTTTATAAATTTACTCTCAGATTAGCTAAGCAATGGATTAAAATGCCATTTCATTGCACTCTTGCCAGAACTGAGAAATGTATATATGCAGGAATTATATCCATTTAAATTTAATATCCCATGTCTGTTTAGTCCTAGACTGGTCTTCTACACTAAGACACCATGAAGGAGTATGTGCTCCTATTATTCCTGGCTTTGTGCTCTGCCAAACCCTTCTTTAGCCCTTCACACATCGCACTGAAGAATATGATGCTGAAGGATATGGAAGACACAGATGATGATGATGATGATGATGATGATGATGATGATGATGAGGACAACTCTCTTTTTCCAACAAGAGAGCCAAGAAGCCATTTTTTTCCATTTGATCTGTTTCCAATGTGTCCATTTGGATGTCAGTGCTATTCACGAGTTGTACATTGCTCAGATTTAGGTAAGAATATAAGTCGATTTTGTTTTGAAGAATAGTAATGCTATTCTGACAATTTAAAGGATGGAAAAAGTCTCATTGAAATTTCAAAAATAATCTGAGTGTATAAGTTTTTTTCATTTAAGTTTTTAGGTGGAAAGTACAGCAAACCCCAAAGTACATCCAAACTTATTTTTAAAATTAAGAAAATCAAAGGAAAACTAAGGGAATGTTGTCCATAGAACATTTCCTTCTCTTCCCCAGTTAAATCAAAGCATTTAATTTTAATTCCCTTCAGAGAGAATGGACATCACATGCAGTTCTATCTCAGGGTGCTAGCAGGTTGAGACTGTACTTTTCAGTAAAACTCCATGATAACAAAATAAGCTGCATGTCTAGAACAATGAAATGAGTTATAGAAAGCTTGTGAAATCTCTAATCTAGACCTTTTAAAGATAATGCTTTATTTGCTTTTTAGCAATTTGGGTTTAAAACTGCCTAAGAAAAAAGTGGATAAAGTCTTTTTAAAATTTATAATTCTTTGCTGAGTATTTTATTTCTTTAATACTTCTAATGAAGGAGCACTCAAGAGCACAGCCATGTCCCGTTCAAGGACGGGACTTAATGGGAATGCATATCAAGAGTTGTTGCCTTCAGCTATTTCCAAGAGGGGACAGCTGAGACTGGCCCCACTGTGGAGGCCAAGGTCTGGCACACAACTCCCACTCAGGGGCTGATGGCCCATCAGGGTCACTTCATGAGTCTGTATGAGCAGATGTCTTGAAAAGCATTAGACGTGCTTCCTACTGCCATAGCATTCATGGCAAGAGTTAAAGCTTACAATAATCTACTCTAGAGACCTTAATGAAGTTTGTCATTATATGACAAAATGAGAGGCAAACAAAAAGCATTCAGAAAAAGGGGAGACTAATACGAGCTAGACTTACTAGTAAAGTCTAATGAAATAGGCTAGGAAAAAAAATGGGTCTTAAGCTTTACCTGTGGAATTCTCATGAGAAAGAGATTAAGATGCAAGTACTGTTTGAGAAAACTTGTTCATGTAGAACGACTGTGGAAACAGCATCAGGAACAAGAAATGCAGAAGCTGAGACAGATGCTGGGTGTGAGAAGAGGTTAGTTAGGGAATATGAGAATGTACTATTGTACTAAACTGCATCTCAGACAAGAAAAAACGTTACCTACCATCAGTTTGCAAAGTGGGTGCATGTTAAAGCACTTTGTAAGTCAAAATTCCAGATAAAAATATGTGTATCTGCTATGACTCCACCAGATGTAAACTGGGTTAGTTCTGGGTAAGATGGTGAATAAGGACACATTTATCTTTAGTGCAGACCACCCCCACGTGCTGGCCTCCATATGTGCCACGGCAGAGCAGTCATATGCTTCCAACATGAAGACCCTGCATGAGACATTGCATAAAACTACTCCAGAACACACTTGTCACCAAAGACTTGAGAAGCCCAAGCTACCTCATGGCAGGAAGCTGGTGTTCCCATCACACACAGTCTCCCAAACATTTAGCTTTGAAAAAACTCTAGTAAACAAAATCCACCTAAGAATATCTGTGACAGTCAGACATGCCATCAGCATGCTGCTGCACCCATCCTACCTCCCCCAAAACGTGACCATAAAAAGGGTCTGGGCACTTATCACTCTTCCTCCCTCAGGAGATGAAACTCTTCAGAACTTCAGTTTTAACAGGGGCAGGGCAGGAGTAGGTTTGTCAAAATCTGTGCTACCAGGAGGATCCCTTCTGCAGAACCTCCAGCTTCCTATAAGACTTCCACTTCATTTTCTAAAACCAAAATAATATCCTGTGTTCATAAAAATGGCAAAATTAATCTATTCTAACAAACAAAACTGCACCCTACCTTGCTAATTCATCAAGTTACCCCCCTTCTTCTTCCCATATAGGGTTAAATTTCTTAAGAAAGTATCAATTTTATTTTAGTATTATTATTATTTTTTTGAGACAGAGTCTTGCTCTGTCACCCAGGCTGGAGTACAATGGCGCGATCTCGGCTCACTGCAACTTCCGTCTCCTGGGTTCAAGCGATTTTCCTGCTTCAGCCTCCTGAGTAGCTGGGATTAAAGGCGCACACCACCATGCCTGGCTAATTTTTATATTTTTAGTAGAGACGAGGTTTTACCATGTTGGCCAGGATGGTCTTGATCTCCTGACCTCATGATCCACCCGACTCGGCCTCCGAAAGTGCTGGGATTATAGGCGTGAGCCACCGCGCCCAGCCTATTTTTTTATTTTTATTTTTGAGACAGAGTCTCACTCTGTCACCCAGGCTGGAGTGCAGTGGCACTATCTTGGCTCACTGCAACCTCTGCCTCCTGGGTTCAAGCGATTCTCCTGACTCAGCCTCCCGAGTAGCTGGGACTACAGGCACGTGTAACAATGCCCAGCTAATTTTTGTATTCTTAGTAGAGACGGGGTTTCTTTCACCATGTTGGCCAGGCTGGTCTTACAACTCCTGACCTTAAGTGACCCACCCACCTCGGCCTCCCAAAGTGCTGGGATTACAGGCGTAAGGCACCATGCCTGACCAATTTTAAAGTATAGAAAGGAAAAGTACATAGAGCTGTAGGATAGAATGTTGATATTCAAATACTAGATTTTCAATTCTTCAATTTTTGGCTATTAAATGTATGACTACACTTCAGGAGTGAGGACGGTTCTATCAAAAGTGTACTGACATCTAGGCCAAGGCAGGCATCTCGCTTGAGTCCAGGAGTTCGAGACTAGCCTGGCCAACATGGCGAAACGCTGTGTCTAGTAAAAATACAACAATTAGCCAGGCATGGTGGTACACATCCTAGCTACTCGGGAGGCTAAGGCAGAAGAATCACTAGAACCCAGGAGGTGGAGGTTGCAGTGAGCCGAGATGGCGCCACTGCACTCCAGCCGGGGCGACAGAGCAAGACTGTCTCAAGTTAAAAAAAAAAAAAAAAAGAATAATATATGAATCAGTATGTGGAAATCAAAGAATTTACAACTAATTAGAGAAGTTAATTACTTAAAGGAAATGGGTGGTAAAGTTTTTGGTAATATACATGAAAAAAATCTAATTTTTCCATTTTCTAAACACAACTATCTAAGGCTTCTTAAAATGATCAAGACCCGGCTGGGTGCGGTGGCTCACGACTGTAATACCAGCACTTTGGGAGGCCCAGTCAGGCGAATCACGAGGTCAGGAGTCTGAGACCAGCCTGACCAACATGGGGAAACCTCGTCTCTACTAAAAATACAAAAATTAGCCAGGCGTGGTGGCACACACCTGTAATCCCAGCTACTCAGGAGGCTGAGGCAGGAGAACTGCTGGAACCCGGGAGGCCGAGGTTGCAGTGAGCCAAGATCATGCCACTGCACTCCAGCCTGGGCAACAGAGCGAGACTCCATCTCAAAAAAAAAAAAAAAGAAAGAAAAATTATCAAGACCCATATGCTCCAATTTAGCACTATAACAGCCTGAAAATTTGCAAAGAAAGCTAACATTCCTCAGCCAAAGGTACATCAACAGAAGCTGCACCTCAGTGGTTGGTCACCTTCTCACAGCCACTAAGGCCGCTCCAATTTATCTCCTTTTATTCCACCTTAGAGGGGATGAGTAGTGACAACTATACCAATCTAGACACCTTGTAAAAATTAATAAGTTACTCAAAAAGGTCCTGAGGTCTTCCCCCAAAACAATGTTTTTTTTGTCATCTGTTATGACTGTTAAGTCATCTGTAACTTGATGATAATCATGGGTTTTAAAAAATGTATATTTCTACCATATTAGTAATCTCATCTTCAGCATGATTCTCTATTATATAATATGTTTGTTTCTTTCTAAGGTTTGACCTCAGTCCCAACCAACATTCCATTTGATACTCGAATGCTTGATCTTCAAAACAATAAAATTAAGGAAATCAAAGAAAATGATTTTAAAGGACTCACTTCACTTTATGTAAGAATATATCCTCATACTTTCAAAGATTTAAGTGAAAACTCTGTATCTTTGCTATAATGATTAATTATACTATGTTAGTATAAACAAGTCTTACTTTTCTGTAAAGAATGACAAAAATCCCTGCATTCAACAGCGTTCTAGTCAATTAAAAATTATAGATTTCATTCAATTAATAGTCTAATTCAATGGATGTTTATTAAATAATAGCCATGTAAAATGTAGTGGGCTGAGTTTAATGGTCCTCAAATAAGCTTACAATCTATTCAGGTAGTAACAGTCACTATACATTAAAATGAACAAGAAAACAATTACTTACAGCAATCATTAGCAAACAGTGTAAGAAATCTCTACCCAAACGTGTTAAGACACCACAAATCTCTAACAGCAGCACACAGAATATATCTGATTGATTAATATATACATGTATGGCTTATTTATTGGATCTTTAAAGAAGAAAAGAATTTTTTCTTTACTGTATTAGTATCATTTTAATATTCTAGGATTTAAAAGATTACTACTTCCATGTTTAACATTTTGGGCTGGGTGTGGTGGCTCATGCCTATAATCCCAGCACTTTGGGAGGCCAAGGCGGGCGGATCACTTGAGCCCAAGAGTTCGAGATCAGCCTGGGCAACACAACAAGACTCCACCTCTATAAAAAATACAAAATTAGTTGGCATGGTGGTGGTGCACGTAGTCTTAGCCAAGAGGTAGAGGTTGCAGTGAGCTGTGACTATGCCACTGCACTCTAGCCTGGGTGACACAGTAAGACCCTGTCTTAAAAACAAAAACAAACCAAAAAAATCATTTCGAAGTCTCCAGATTTTAGCAAGTAAAATTTCTGATTTAGTCTGAAATTGGGTTTGGAGGAGCACCTCATTTCCCCCGCCACCGCCTCCCCTCAGCACAGCTCCTGCCTCGCTGACTCTGGCATGGTGTTAGAGGAAGAGCTCTGGTTCTGTATCATCTGAGGTGGTAAGCCAGGCCTGGCTATTCCAGGCCATTTCCCCACACTCTCAGGCTGTGCTGGAGAAAACAAATTTAAAGTCTGTCATCTCTAGATAAGATAAAACTAAGAGAACAGGGTAGAAAATACCATAACAATATTAGCCCCTTGCTACCATGCAGGCCTGGCCTGTTCCTGTGTCTGAGAGATGTGGGGTCACCATGCCTCCCTGTCACCCTGGGTCAGTGCAGTGGACCCTGCTGGCCCATCTCTTCCTCCCTGTCACCCTGGGATTGAGGACATGCATGCTGATCATACTTAAGGCAGACTGAGGGATGCTCAATCCTTGCATCAAGCCTCCCTACAAAATCCAGCTCTCACACTGCCCGGTCAGGTAGCCAGCACCTTGTCTGCTCTTTTCACTTTCAAAGTGTGCAGGCAGCTCAGATCTGGTAAGCCTCCATTATCAATATAAAAGAGCAACTAGAAGAGCATATATTTATAAGTTAGGTCTCACTAAAACATTAAGACAGTCAGAAATGACACAATGGATTCCACCGAGGATCCACCCAGTCCACCCCACTAACTTTAGGCCACAGAATCTTTTGGAGAATGGCAGGCCATTATTCCACCAACAGAAGTTGGAAATATAGCCTGTTGATGCGTTTACCACTTCTTCAACCCCTTTTCAGCTTAGATAACCACAAGAATAATAACTAATGGCATATTTAATACTGGGGCTATGAAAGTTTTAAATTCATCATATCATTATTTTATTACATTTTAGGAGCATTCCAGGGACTTAGTCCATACTTATTCTTGTTATTCACAGGGAAATGAGAAACTAAATGGTATCAGGAGCTTTCTTAGACCTACTTGATTTCCTTTGAGAAATGCATGTCAGGTGTAGAGCAATGGAGGGAAAGCCCCCAGCTGTTAAGTAGTATTACTGCCAAGCTACTATTAGCAGACTGACCAGGTGTACTGATGTAAATCACTTTTTAAAGTACATGCTTTATACTTGAATTGTAGGTATACCACACAATTACAAAACATTTATATAATTATAGTATCACCTTATATGGTACCTGTCTTTTAAGAGAATCAAACTATTTTTTAGACATTCTACAAATTCTCTGTGTTAAGTTTTAGCTGCTTGTTTGGCACTTGGGTTCTTACACAAAGGATGATACAGTCAGAGCAAAATCACTGAACACAATCACAGCCCTCCCAGCTCACTTCCAGCCATTATGAGACACATGTGGCATGAATCACTGTCCTACTACTGAATGGCTATGCTCTTCTCATCTTCTGTCCTTACACTGTTTGTTAATGATGAATTGGAAGCTCTGTGATAATCAAGCCAGCACTGAGAGTGCAGTTTAACTGGATCACTCAGCCAGCTCACCATGCAGGGCAGGCAGTCCACCATGTGGCGCGGCTCTTACCAGTGCTGCACAAAACCTCTTACACAGTTTTGTATTACTTTTCCTTCCTTTTATGCAGTTCCAACAACTGCATGTTTTAATTAGGAAAAACAAACTAATAAAAGCCCAGTGCACTAGACTTGGATCTCACTGACGCACAGGTTCACTTTGTGGTGGGGCCTCTCTAACCCTCACTTGTTGCATGGCATAGGCAAGTCACCTTTCTTCACTTTACGCATTTCCTCATCACTAAAAGGAGAGTAATAATTCCTGCTAAATTTACCTCTTGGAATCAAGAGAGGATTCACAAACCATCTTGATGATCCACCAAGTTGTTAAATTCCCCTCACCTCATTTTTCAGTGTAACCAAAGGAAAAGAGAAGATACTTTTAGTTGGCATCACACACTCACAAACGAGGATATTTTACCAGTTGGTAACAAAATGTAGTTTCACCTCTTCTCCTAGGCTTACCCTTTCTTGGTGAAACTTTTAGCAATAGTGATATATCTGGAATTTCCAGAGGGTGAGAAAAGGAAAGCACAAAGGGCCAAGAGTGAGATGAGGAAACGTGCAGATACAAGTTTACTGAGCAACCAAAATGTGTATTTCTGCCATGGAAAAACAACAACAATATGAGTAATACCAGTGAGGCATATTAAACAAAGGGAGATTTTTGTGAAATGAATTTGAGAACAAAATCATAAAATGAATGAATCTAGAGCTGCTCCTTGAGAAAATCAGATGACCTGGATTGGTAAAGAGGGACAAAAAGGTCCTGAAGACGCTTAGTGGCCTGTCATCATTCTTGGTAAACACAGAAATTCTCTTTGAACAATCTGGCAAAGAGTAAAGAACTGAGCTATGCTCATTTTGCAATGAAAATCCTTATCAGAGTTACCAACATGTCCCAGTTTGCCTAGGACATTCCCAGTTTGGGTTCTGAAATCCCCACATCCCATAATCTCATGATCTGGGCAGACTGAGATGGCTGGTCACCCAAGCAGCCATGCACCCTTGGACATGTTGCAAAAGACTTGTGCAGAGAGCACACTCACACTGGTACGAGCTCTTTTTACTCTCTGGAGTTATTAGACCTCCTCTGGAGGATGCTGTCTTATTGCCCTGAGAAATACCCAAAAAACTGATAAGAGATTGAGTCATTTCTCAGGATCCATTACTATATCCCCAATATCTAAAATATGCCAGAATGCTGAGGGCACATGGTAGGATTTTTTTCCTTACAGGCCTCTGTTCTGGGAGAAATGGTAAACATTAGTAAATATGAAAGAAATGAGGTTTTCAAAGTAGACAAAATCATGCAAAAGTATATTTGGTGTGCACTAAACATAGTTTTGTAGAGTAAATAGATTTTAAGATAAGATAAAGATAAT
Organism: Homo sapiens; assembly: GCF_000001405.40. NCBI lineage: Eukaryota > Metazoa > Chordata > Mammalia > Primates > Hominidae > Homo > Homo sapiens. The sequence continues at coordinate 301,629 of NW_025791788.1, read as the reverse complement.
ATCACTGGTCACTTCCCTGAAGGGAAATAGGAGGCTGAGTAGAGGTTGAAGGCTTAGCCATATGAAAGTATTATCTATTCAAAGATTAAAAAGATGCACTTCTATCTAAACCAATGGCACAACATTAATTATTATAGCTCTGCACTTTTCTAACTCAGTAGTAAAATTTTTTTAAAAGCTTAGATTGGGCTGGGAAAGTTTTTACATGGGTGATCTAGTACACCACTGATATAAATTGTACTGATTTCCATCATTGGCTAATCACTGTAGAATACTGGTAAATCAAATCCACTTCCTAATATTGTGTAACTTTCTATGCTTGATCAAGGGTCTGATCCTGAACAACAACAAGCTAACGAAGATTCACCCAAAAGCCTTTCTAACCACAAAGAAGTTGCGAAGGCTGTATCTGTCCCACAATCAACTAAGTGAAATACCACTTAATCTTCCCAAATCATTAGCAGAACTCAGAATTCATGAAAATAAAGTTAAGAAAATACAAAAGGACACATTCAAAGGAATGAATGCTTTACACGTTTTGGGTAAGTTTTTCAAATGAATGGGACATCTTGAAATTATAACAAACAAGCAGATGTAGAACACTTTATCGTCACTATTAAGAATAATTTCCAAAATTAATTTTTGAATAATCTTTGCCTAGATAAGCCATTTATAAACCAATTAAAATGTCCAACAAAATGTTTAGCACTTAAAGAAAATATGATCTTCGTAATACTGTCTCTCTCTCCCTGAAGAACCTCCTTTGAGGCCAGGCCTGGTGGCTCACGCTTGTAATCCCAACACTTTGGGAGGCCAAGGCGGGCGGATCTCCTAAGGTCAGGAGTTTGAGACTAGCCTGGCCAACATAGTAAAACCCTGTCTCTACTAAAAATACAAAAATTAGCCGGGTGTGGTGACAGGTGCCTGTAATCTCAGCTACTCGGGAGGCTTAGGCAGGAGAATTGCTTGAACCCAGGAGGCAGGGGTTGCAGTGAGCCGAGATTGCGCCACTGCACTCCAGCCTGGGTGACAGAATGAAACTCCATCTCAAAAAAAAAAAAAAGAACCTCCTTTGAAACACTTAGCGTGGTTTCTGTTTCTGACCAGACCCTAATAAAATATAACTTATTATTTAATTTAAAGGTAGTATTTTTAATGTATTGCATAAGCTACTCAAATATAATACACAAAATTAGTTTGGATATTATTTGGAATGTGCACCTAACATTTGGTTATCTGCTTTAAGATTATCGATGTGAGGAATTTTTTGTCTTATATTTAAAACTCTACCTGATTTTATTTCTGACACCTATCATATAACCATGCCATCTCCCTATAATATCCATTCAAAATTCATAACCAAGATACTAATTCATTTATTCATTTAATTCAACCAAGTGCCTGGCCTCACTTACTGGCATTTCTTCAAGGTTATATTTCTGCTAACAAAACAACAATTTCTAATTGACTTACAATTTAAAAAAAGTTTAAGACACAAAAATGTACACAGAAAAACATAAACATTTTGGATTATATGAAGGATGATCTTTTTTGATGCACTATTACAATAACAAAACCTTAATTGTGCTCATGGTTGGAGGAGAGTGAAAATGTCACTGATATGGTAAT